>NC_000006.12:6423636-6575151 GCF_000001405.40 Homo sapiens
AAGGGCCAATGCCCTTTTTTCTTTTTTGTTTTTGGAGCCAGACATTTAAGAAAATCCTTGTCAGGTCACTAGCTGATAGCAGAGATAATGGAATATAAATTTTAGTTAGCACGTACAACAAGGAATATACTTTGCAAAAATGGTTTAGAAAAGTCACAAACAGACTGCCCCATCCTTCGACAAGCAGAAATCAATAATCCTTAAGTTCTCAGATAATCAAATTTACCACATTGATACTCAAATTGTGCAATTCTCAAAAAAAGAATTACAAGCAATACAAAGAAACAGAAAAGTATTAACTCATTCACAGGAAAGAAAAAGAATTTGACAGAAATCATTCCTGGGAAAGCCTAGATACTGGAATTACTAACCAAAGATGATTAACCAATTGCCTGAAATAAGCTCAGTGACCTAAAAAAAACCATGGATGAAGAACTAAAGGAAATTGGAAAAATAATGTATGAACAGAATATCAATAAAGAGATAGAAATTATGAAAAAGGAACCAAACAGAAATTCTGGAGCTGAAGTTACAACATCTGAAAGGAAAAATTCACTAGAGAGCTACAACAGCAGATTTGAATACATGAAAGAAAAGCTCTGTAACCTTGAAGATATGACAATTAAAATGATTAAGACTAAAGAGCAAAATTTTTAAAAAGATTAAAAAATAAACAGAGCCTGAAGGACCTGTTGCATAACATCAAGTATACCAACATCTGCACATAGTATGTATTGGTCCATTTTCATGCTGCTGATAAAGACATACCTGAGACTGGGCAATTCACAAAAGAAAGAGGTTTATTGAACTTACATATGGCTGGGGAGACCTCACAATCATGGCAGAAGTCAAAGAGGAGCAAGTCACCTCTTATGTGGATGGCAGCAGGTAAAGAGAGATGGCTTGTGTAGGGAAACTCCCATTTTTAAAACCATCAGATCTCATGGGACCCATTCACTATCACAAGAACAGTGCAGGAAAGACCAGCCCCCATAATTCAATCACCTCCCACTGGCTTTCTCCATGACACATGAGAATTGTGGGAGTTACAATTCCAGATGAGATTTGGGTGGGGACACAGACAAACCATGTCATAGTAGTATGAGAAGGAGAACAGAGAAAGAAAGAAGCAGAAAAAATTATCTGAAGAAATAATGGATGAAAACTTCCCAAATCTGACAGACATTAATACATATATCAAAGAAGCCCAATAAACTTCAAACAGGAAACTCAAAAAAATCTACACTGTGACACATTATAGTCAAATTGTTGTAAGTAAAAGACAAAGAGAAAATTTCCAAAGCAGCAAGAGAGGTGACTTGTCATGTACAGTGAGTCCTCAATAAGACTGACAATGACAATGTATTTCTCATCAGAAACTTTGGCGACAAGAAGGCAGTGGGATGACAAAGTCTTGTAAGAATAAAATTGTGAATGAAGAGTTCTCTATCTGGTAAAATGGCCGTTTAAGAGTGAAGGAGAAATTACAACATTTTCAGTAAAACAGAAGCTGAGATTAACTTTCCAGTAACTTTCCCTATAAAGAATACTAAAGGGAGTTTTTCAGGCTGGCATGGAAAGACTCTGGACAGTAACTTGAAGCTATAGGATAAAATAAAGAACACTGGTAAAGGAAACTATATAGGTAAACATACTGGCCAGCATTATTATACTTTTGGTTTGTAACTTCCCTTTTTATCCTACACGATTTAAAAGTCAAATGCATAAAATTATAAGTCTATCTTAAAGGGCAAATACTGTATAAGGATACATCTGCAACAATAACATAAAGGGGAATGAAAAGAGATGTATAGGAGCAGAGTATTTGCATACTATTGAAACTCATTTGATATTACTCAAACTGGGTTGTTATCAGTTTAAGATATTAATATTAATCTCCTAAGGCAACCACTAAGTAAATAACTTAAAAATATACAGAAAAGTAAAGAAGGAGGGAATCAAAATGGCACACTACAAAAAATCAACTAACTCCAAAAAGAGGCAGTACTGTAGTAGTGTAGTGTAGCAAATGAGGAATAAGTAAAATAAATAAACATGTAAAATATACACAACAAATAGCTAAATGGTAGAAATAAATCCTTTCTTATCAGTAATTACTTTAAATTCAAATTGATGAAAACCTCCTATTAAAAGACAGGGATGAAAACAGTGGATAAATTAAAAAATAAAAACATGATCTATGTACTGTATACCAGAGACTCACTTTAGATACAGAGACACAAAGAAGTTGAAAATGAAAGGATGAGATAAGATATTTCATGCAGATAATAACCAAAAAAGAGCTGAAGTGGCTATATCGTTGTCAGGCAAACTAACCTTTAATTCAAAAAAGTTTACTAGAGGCAATGGAGGACATTATACATTAATAAAATGTTCAAACCATCATGAAGATATAACATTTATAAACATATATGCATCTAACAACAGAACTCTAAAATATACGAAGCAAAAATGAACAGAATTGAAGGGAGAGGTAGATAGTTCTACAATAACAGTTGGAGACTTTCATACTACACTTTCAATAGTGAGCAGAATAACCATACGGCCATATAGCAGAATAGATCAAAAAGGAAATAGAGGACTTGAACAACACAATAAACCAATTTTACCCATACACATATACAAAACAATCCACGCAACAACTGAAAAATACACATTCTTCTCAAAAGGTATGTTTGGAACATTCTGCAAGATAGACCATAGGGCTAGATCACAAAATTTCTTAATAAATTTCAAAACATTTAAGATATTGAAATTTTAAAACAAAAAATCTTTTTTAATCACAATAGAAGGAAACTACAAATCAATAACAGAAGGAAAACTAGAAAATTAACAAATCTGTAAGAGCTAAACAACACAGTCTTAACCAACAAATGGGTCAAAGAGTAAATCACAAGGGAAATTAGAAAACACCTTGAGATTAATAAAAACAACAACATCTCACTTAGACTCCCACACAATAATAATGGGAGATTTTAACACCCCACTGTCAACATTAGACAGATCAACGAGATAGAAAGTTAACAAGGATATCCAGGAATTGAACTCAGCTCTGCACCAAGCAGACTTAATAGACATCTACAGAACTCTCCACCCCAAATCAACAGAATATACATTCTTCTCAGCACCACATTGCACTTATTCCAAAATTGACCACATACTTGGAAGTAAAGCACTCCTCAGCAAATGTAAAAGAACAGAAATTATAACAAGCTGTCTCTCAGACCACAGTGCAATCAAACTAGAACTCAGGATTAAGAAACTCACTCAAAACCACTCAACTACATGGAAACTGAACAACCTGCTCCTGAATGACTACTGGGTACATAATGAAATGAAGGCAGAAATAAAGAAAGATGTTCTTTGAAACCAATGAGAACACAGACACAACATACCAGAATCTCTGGGACACATTTAAAGCAGTGTGTAGAGGGAAATTTATAGCACTAAATGCCCACAAAAGAAAGCAGGAAAGATCTAAAAATGATACCCTAACATCACAATTAAAAGAACTAGAGAAGCAAGAGCAAACACATTCAAAAGCTAGCAGAAGGCAAGAAATAACTAAGATCAGAGCAGAACTCAAGGAAATAGAAACACAAAAAACCCTTCAAAAAAATCAATGAATCCAGGAGCTGGCTTTTTGAAAGGATCAACAAAATTGATAGACTGCTAGCAAGACTAATAAAGAAGAAAAGAGAGAAGAATCAAATAGACACAATAGAAAATGATAAAGGGGATATCACCACCGATCCCACAGAAATACAAACGACCATCAGAGAGTACTATAAACACCTCTATGCAAAGAAACTAGAAAATCCAGAAAAAATGGATAAATTCCTGGACACATACACCCTCCCAAGACTAAACCAGGAAGAAGCTGAATCCAGGCTCTGAAATTGAGGCAATAATGAATAGCCTACCAACCAAAAAAAGTCCAGGACCAGATGGATTCACAGCCGAATTCTACCAGAGGTACAAGGAGGAGCTGGTACCATTCCTTCTGAAACTATTCCAATCAATAGAAAAAGAGGGAATCCTCCCTAGCTCATTTTATGAGGCCAGCATCATCCTGATACCAAAGCCTGACAGAGACACAACAATAAAAAAGAGAATTTTAGACCAATATCCCTGATGAACATCGATGCAAAAAGCCTCAATAAGATACTGGCAAACCGAATCCAGCAGCACATCAAAAAGCTTATCCACCATGATCAAGAGGGCTTCATCGCTGGGATGCAAGGCTGGTTCAACATATGCAAATCAATAAACGTAATCCAGCATATAAACAGAACCAAAGACAAAAACCACACGATTATCTCAATAGATGCAGAAAAGGCCTTTGACAAAATTCAACAGTGCTTCATGCTAAAAACTCTCAATAAATTAGGTATTGATGGGATGTATCTCAAAATAATAAGAGCTATTTATGACAAACCCACAGCCAATACCATACTGAATGGGCAAAAACCAGAAGCATTCCCTTTGAAAACTGGCACAACACAGGGATGCCCTCTCTCACCACTCCTATTCAACATAGTGTTGGAAGTTCTGGCCAGGGCAATCAGGCAGGAGAAAGAAATAAAGTGTATTCAATTAGTAAAAGAGGAAGTCAAATTGTCCCTGTTTGCAGATGACATGATTGTATATCTAGAAAACCCCATCGTCTCAGCCCAAAATCTCCTTAAGCTGATAAGCAACTTCAGCAAAGTCTCAGGATACAAAATCAATGTGCAAAAATCACAAGCATCCTTATACACCAATAACAGACAAATAGGGAGCCAAATCATGAGTGAACTCCTATTCACAATTGCTAAAAAGAGAATAAAATACCTAGGAATCCAACTTAAAAGGGATGTGAAGGACCTCTTCAAGGAGAACTACAAACCACTGCTCAATGAAATAAAAGAGGACACAAACAAATGGAAGAACATTCCATGCTCATGGATAAGAAGAATCAATATCGTGAAAATGGACATACTGCCCAAGGTAATTTGTAGATTCAATGCCATCCCCATCAAACTACCAATGACTTTCTTCACAGAATTGGAAAAAACTACTTTAAAGTTCATATGGAACCAAAAAAGGGCCCACATTTCCAACACAATCCTAAGCCAAAAGAACAAAGCTGGAGGCATCACACTACCTGACTTCAAACTATACTACTAGGCTATAGTAACCAAAACAGCATGGTACTGGTACCGAAACAGAGATATAGACCAATGGAACAGAACAGACCCCTCAAAAATAATACCACACATCTACAACCATCTGATCTTTGACAAACCTGAAAAAAACAAGCAATGGGGAAAGGATTCCCTATTTAATAAATGGTGCTGGGAAAACTGGCTAGCCATATGTAGAAAGCTGAAACTGGATCCCTTCCTTACACCTTATACAAAAATTAATTCAAGATGGATTAAAGACTTAAATGTTAGACCTAAAACCATAAAAACCCTAGAAGAAAACCTAGGCAATACCATTCAGGACATAGGCATGGGCAAGGACTTCATGTCTAAAACACCAAAAGCAATGGCAACAAAAGACAAAATTGACAAATGGGATCTAATTAAACTAAAGAGCTTCTGCACAGCAAAAGAAACTACCATCAGAGTGAACAGGCAACCTACAGAATGGGAGAAAATGTTTGCAATCTACTCATCTGACAAAGGGCTAATATCCAGAATCTACAAAGAACTCAAACAAATTTACAAGAAAAAATCAAACAACCCCATCAAAAAGTGGGCGCAGGATATGAACAGACACTTCTCAAAAGAAGACATTTATGCGGCCAATAGACACATGAAAAAATGCTCATCATCACTGGCCATCAGAAAAATGCAAATCAAAACCACAATGAGATACCATCTCATACCAGTTAGAATGGCGATCATTAAAAAGTCAGGAAACAACAGGTGCTGGAGAGGATGTGGAGAAATAGGAACACTTACACTGTTGGTGGGACGGTAAACTAGTTCAACCATTGTGGAAGACAGAGTGGCGATTCCTCAAGGATCTAGAACTAGAAATACCATTTGACCCAGCCATCCCATTACTGCGTATATACCCAAAGGATTATAAATCATGCTTCTGTAAAGACACATGGACACGTATGTTTATTGGGGCACTATTCACAATAGCAAAGACTTGGAACCAACCCAAATGTCCATGAATGATAGACTGGATTAAGAAAATGTGGCACATATACACCATGGAATACTATGCAGCCATAAAAAAGGATGAGTTAATGTCCTTTGTAGGGACATGGATGAAGCCGGAAACCATCATTCTCAGAAAACTATCGCAAGGACAAAAAACCAAACACCGCATGTTCTCACTGATAGTTGGGAATTGAATAACGAGAACACGTGGACACAGGAAGGAAAATATCACACACTGGGGCCTGTCATGGGGTGGGGGGAGGGGGAGGGATAGCATTAGGAGATATACCTAACGTAAATGACGAGTTAATGGGTGTAGCACACCAACATGGCACATGTGTACATATGCAACAAACCTGCATGTTGTGCACATGTACCCTAGAACTTAAAGTATAATTAAAAAAATCAAAACAAACAAACAAACAAAACAACAACATCTCAAAACCTATAGGACACAGTGAAAGAGGAGCTACATGGGACATTTATGCTGTAAACAGTGACATTTAAAAAAAGGAGAGATCTCAAATCAACAACCTACCTGAACACCCAAAGAACAAGAAAAAGAAGATTAAAGTAAACCCAAAGCTAGCAGAAGGAATGAATAATAAAGATTACAGTGGAGATAAATAAAATTGAGAATAGATTAATGATAGACTCAAAAGTTGATTCTTTGAAAAGGTCAACAGAATAAACAAACCTTTATCTAGACTAAGTAAGAAAAAGAAAGCAAAGACTGAAATTGCTAAAATCAGAAATGACAGTAGGAATATTACTACCAATTTTGCATAAATAAGAAGGATGATAAGAAAATACTATGGAATATTGTATGCCAACACATTGGATAGTCTGGATAGAATGGAAACATCTAGACCCAAAATACAAAATTGATTCAAGAAGCAGCAGAAAATCTGAATAGACCTATAACAAGTAAGCATATTGAATCAGAAATCAAAAACCTTCCAACAAAGAAAAGTTCAGGGCAAGTTGGCTTCAGTGGTGAATTCTATCAAACATTTAAAGAATAACTGACATCAATAGTTCTCAAACTCTTCTAAGGAATCTAAGAGACGGAAACATTTTATAATGCTTTTCCTTAAGACTAACAGTACCATTATACTAGAACTGGGAACAGATACTATAATAAAAGACACCAGCAGGCTTTTATGAATATAGATTTAAAAAAACTCAACAAAGTACTACCAAGCCAAATTTATCAGTATAGTAAAAGGATTACACACCATGACCAAGTAAATTTTATTTCAGGAATTCAAATGTCCTTCAGCATATGAAAATCAATCAATACAGTATACCACATTAATAGAATGAAGGGGAAAAACTCACATGAGCATATTAGTTGATACAGAGAAAGCATTTGCCAAAATCCAGCATCTTTTCATGATAAAAACATTCAATAAACTAGGAATAGGGGGTAACTCCTTCAACATCAGAAAGGCCATATGTGAAAAACCCATAGCCAACATCATCCCCAATGGTGAAAGACTGAAATGTTTTCCCCTAAAATCAGGAACAAGACAAAATTGCTCATCATCATCACTTCTATTCAACATAGCACTGAAAGTTCCAACCAGAGCAATTAGACAAAAATAAAATAAAATAAAATAAAAGGCATCCAAGCTGGAAGGAGGAAATAAAATTATCTCTGTTCTCAGATGATATAAGCTTATATGTCGGAAGCTCTAAAGAAACCACAAAAAAAAAACTGTTGGAGCTAATAAACAAATTCAGCAAATTTGCAGGATACAAAATCAACACACAAAAATCAGTATATTTCTATACACTAGCAAGGAACACTCTGTAAAGGAAATTAAGGAAAAAAGTTTCATTAATGATAGAATCAATTTACAAATAAATTTAACCAAGGTAGAAAAAGACTTGTAAAGTGAAAACAACGAAACGCTGCTGAAAAAAGTTAAGGACAACATAAATAAACAGAAAGACAACTTGTGTTCATAGACTGGAATACTAAATATTTTTAAATGACAAAACTAATTAAAGCTGTCTAAAGATGTAATGTAATCCTTTCAAAATCCCAATGGTGTCTTTTGCATAAACAGAAAAACCTATTCTAAAATTTTTTAAGGAACTTCAAAGGACCCCAAATAGATCTTGAAAATGAAGAACAAAATTGGAAGACTCGTGCTTCCCAATTTCAAAACTTCCTACAAAGCAATAGTAATCAAAATACCATGGTATTGGCATAAGGATAGAGACATGGACCAATGGAATAGAATAAAGAGCCTAGAAGTAAGCCCTCATATATCCAGTCAATTCATTTTCAGCAAGGTTTCAAGACTACTCAAAGGGGAAAGGACAGTCTTTCCAACAAAAGATGGCGGGAAAACATGCATAATAAAGTTGAACTCTTACTTTATGTCATATATAAGAATTAACTCTAAATGGATTAAAAACCTAAACTTCAGAGATAAAAATGTAAAACACACAGAAGAACACTTAAGGGAAAATCATAACGTTGGATTTGGCAATGACGTTTTAAATATGACACCAAAAGCAAAAGCAACAACAACACCATAGATAAATTGAACTTCAGCAAAAATAACAACCTTTAAGCAAAGAAGACATACAAATGGCCATTAGGTGCATAGAGATATGGTCAACATTATAGTTGTTAGGGACATGCAAATTAAAACCACAATGAAATATTACTACGCACATTAAGATGACTGTTGTTTTAAAAAAAATGGAAAATAAGTGCTGGGAGGATGTAGAACAATTGGAATCCTAGTTGGTGGTGGGAAGGTAAAATAGTATTGCTGCTATGGAAAATAG
Organism: Homo sapiens; assembly: GCF_000001405.40. Classification (NCBI taxonomy): domain Eukaryota; kingdom Metazoa; phylum Chordata; class Mammalia; order Primates; family Hominidae; genus Homo; species Homo sapiens. The sequence goes on from NC_000006.12 coordinate 6,432,627, forward strand.
TTTGACAGTTCTTCAAAAAGTTAAATATAAAATTATCGTATGACCCTGTAATTCCACTCCTACAATCCCACTCCCAAAATAATTAAATAAGGGGAATTAAATGGATACTCATACAACAATGTTCACAGTAGCATTATTCACACACAATAGCTGAAAGTGGCAACAAGTATCTATCAACGAATAAGTAATTGGATAAAATGGCATATACATACAATGGATTAATATTCAGCCATAAAATTGAATGAAGTTCTGATGGTTGCTACAGTATGAATAAACCTTGGAAACATTATGCTAACTGAAAGAAGTCAGACACAAAGGATAAACATTACATGATTCCTCAAAGATGAAATACCTAGAAAAAACAACTTTAAAGATAAGGAATGTAGAGTAGAGGTTATTAGCAGCTAAAAGGCAGGGGAAATGGGGAGTTATTGCATAATTACTAAGAGTGTTTGTTTGGAGTGATTAAAAAGTTTTAGAAATAGATAAAGATGATAGTTACACAGCATTGTAAATGTATTAATGCCACTGAATTGTACACTTAAAAATGCTTTAAATGATAAATGGTACGTTGTGTGTATTTTACAACAATAAAAATACATTCATACAAAACAGTAATGTTCGTTTCGAACACATACAAAACAGTATACATTAAAATGGTTGCATATGAAGTGAGAGGGGGGTACACAGGGAAAAGGCATAACTGTGAAAAAAAATGAATGAATAACAAGAAAGAGGCCTAACAAGAACCAATAATCAACAACAGACCATGAAATAAGAATTCTTAAACTCTATTCTGTACCTGAGGTCTGAAAGAAAACCAAAAACAACAAAAATATCTGAGTGTGTCAAATTATGAACTGCCATTTTGAATGGAACCGACACACATGTCCTCGCGGATTATGATACTCTTCTCATATATTGTCTCAGATCAGGATACTTAATTCCAAAGGGAGTTACTGAGAAATGGAAGGAAATGTATGTGAAGGCTACAGAGCACATTTTACTGAAAGACAGCTGTGTGACACTACCTTCATGTTGATGAATTGGTCCTCCTCTTAATTCTTACAGTACTTTTTATTGATAACATTTGTAATGAATTAAAGATGATAGTCAAGAATTTTTTGATGTTCCTGCTACCAAGAGATGCAGTTAATTTCCCTTACGTTTAAATATGGGTTGGTTTGCAACAGCCTTATCTTATACAGACAGTAAAAGTGTCAGTGTATGATTTCCAAAGCCAAGTTGAAGGTTGATTCCTTGGAATACATCTCTCTGGGACCCCTGAACTGCATGTAAGAAGTCAACTGTTCTGACATAGCCGTGCTCGACAGGCCATAAAAAGGCGCTCTGGGTGATAGCTCCAGCTAAGCCATTTTCTCTAAACCACATACATGCCCATAGTTAAAAAAAAAAATGCAGCTACAAGAAGGTGATGTGAAAAGTAAACATCTCCTCTCCTTGTCTCTCAACACTACTGCCCCTCCCTTTAGACAATTTCTGTTCGTTTGCTATTATTTCTTCCAAATATATTCTGTGCATGTGTTACATTTATATTTACATTTATCCATTCTTATTTACATAGAAATGCAGATATGACCTTATGCTTCTCAGTTAACAAAGTATCTTGGAGATAGATCCATATCATCATATAAAGAGCTTTCGTGTTCCTTTTCATGGCTGTATGTAAGCAATGTCTGGACGTAACCACAATTTATGTAACCAGTTCCAACTTGACTGTTTCCAGTCATTTGACATTCCAAACAATGCTGCAATAAAAAACCTTGCATATTTGACCTAGAAGCCCAATTCCTGGATTCCAGGATATGCACATTTTACATTTTGATGTATATTGACAAATTGCTTCTTAGAGAGTTTGCACTTATTCATACTCCATCAAAAATGTGGGGAATACCAGTGCAACTAGCACTGTGTACTATCAAGCATTACATTCTTTACAAGTCTATTAGGTCAAAAATGTTTAATTGCTCTCTAATTTGCATTTATTTTATTATGGATAGAGTACAACATCTTTTCATGTGTGATATTATATATATACATTTATCTATATCTATACGTATTTGTTTCAGTGAACTTATCTATTTATGATTTTGTCTATTTTATAGGGAGTAATTACTTGTATTTAATGATTTCAAAAAGCTCTTTAGATTTTAGTTAGCCCTTTGTCATATTAGATACATTTTTCTATTTTTTTATCTGTCTTTTAACATTACCTATATTCTTATTTTTGCCATACATAAATTATAATTTTTAATTACTCAAATTTGTCAACTTAGCATTTTTTCTTGATATTTTCTAGCCTTTCCTACCTCTTGATTTATTTTTTCAACCTAATATCTTTTATTTATTTGGTTTTTTTTTAAATTCAGGGGGGTACATGTGCATGTTTGTTACACGAATATATTACATACTGGTGGATACTGGGCATCCAGTGAACCCATTACCATTACCAAACAGTGAACATCATACCTGATAGGTTATTTTTCAACCTTCCCCCTCAACTCTTTCCCCTTTTAGAGTCCCTGGTGTCCATTATTTCCATCTTTAGGTCTATGTCTGCCAAATGTTTAGCTCACCCTTAGTGAGAACATGCAGTATTTAGTTTTCTGTTTCTGAGTTAGTTGACTTAGTATAATCGTCTCCACCTCCATTCATTTTGCTGCAAAGGATGTGATTTCATTCTTTTTTATGGCTGCATAGTATTCCATGCAGAATACATACCACACTTTATTTATCCAGTCAACCACTGATGAACCCTTAGGTTGGTTCCATGACTTTGCTATTGTGAATGGTGCTGTGATGAACATGCAAGTGCAGGTGGCTTTTTTATACAATGATTTCTTTTCCTTTTGGTAGACACCCTGCAGTGTGATTACTGGGTCAAATGGTAGTTCTACTTTTAGTTCTTCAAAAAATCTCCATACTGCTTTCCATAGAGGTTGTACTAATTTACATTCCCACCAACATTGTGTAAATGTTCCCTTTTCTCCGCATCCACGCCAACATCTATTGTTTTTGACATTTTAATAACAGCTATTCTGACTGGTGTAAGATGATATCTCATCATGGTTTTAATTTACATTTCTTTGATGATTAGTGATGTTGAGCATTTTTTCATGTTTTTGTTGACCACTTTTCATGTGTACGTCTTTAGAGAAAAGTCTGTTCAGGTCCTTTACCCAGTTTTTAATGGGGTTGTTTCCTTCTACTGTCTTTACAGACTCAAATTTTATCTTTAAATATATTTTAAACACTCTGAAAATTATAGACAGTGGAATGTACAAATATGAAGTACACAGTTTAAATAGTTTTAGCAAATGTGTGCATTTGTGCAACTCATGCAACTATCAGAGTTGAGAAAATTTTCATTTACTCCAGAAAGTTTCCTCATGCCCCCTTCTCGGTTCTCTCCATACCCTGCATTTGAAGCAACAATTTTCAGATTTCTCTCATCTGAGATTAGTTTTGCCTGTTCCTAAAAGGCTTATAAATGGGATCATGCAGAATATATTCTTCTGTTTTTAGCCCTTAATGCTCAACATGTTTTTTGTTTGTTTGTTTTGTTTTGTTCTGTTTTTTTTGGTTCATGAATGTTGTTGTGGGTATTAGTAATTCACTCCCCTTTTACTTACTGAAGCTGTGTCATTGTCTGGGGTAAATACCCAAGGTTCATCATCTCACACCAAGGAAATCAAGGACATGGACACACAAGAAGTGAGTTTAAGAGTGGAGGTTTAATAGGTGAGAGAAAAGAGAAAAGCTCTCCTTCCTGCAGAGAGGAGCTCCTGAGTGGGTCTTCCAATTTTATGGTGAAACGCATAGGGTTTTATAGACAAGCTTGAGAAGTGGTCAGACCAGGTGTGCCACCTCAACCTAATCTTTTATTATGCAAATGGGTTCTCTACCTGTCCGGCGCCATGTTGCCTGTTCCTTTATTGTACATGTGGTTGACAAAGAAAAAGGGAGGTGGAGCCTCATGTTGAACATGCCTGGCCCCCAGGTAGCCTTTTCCTATTGGCACAACTGCTAGCATTCACCCGTGCAAGCATCTAGCTTGCCTTTCTTTGTCTGCAGCTTGATTTTAGGGGCTGCTCTTTATTAGAAAAGAAATGATTTGGGGGCTGCTTTTCGTTAAAAGCGAAGCCTTACTGAGGACTCTCTTACCCTCACTAACAGCCTAAATAATTTCTTTTTAGCTCCTGTATCATTATGAGTAGTATTCTGTGGTATAAATATACCACAATTTGCTTATCTGTCTCTTAATGGTGAACATTTCCATTTTTGCATGTTCTGGCTAATATGTATAAAGCTATGTGATCATTCTTGCACAAACTTTTTGTAGACATGTTTACATTTCTCTTAGGTAAATACCTAGAAGTGTAATCCGTGAATGACACAATACATTTTCAATTTTTAAAAAGCTTTATAAGAAACTTTCCAAGTATTTTGCAATGTGGTTGTGTAAGTTTATACCTCATTATCATTGTATGAGAATTCCAGTTGGTCCACATCGTCATGAACAGTTGGTGTTCTCAGTCTTATTAATGTTAGTCATTCTGAATGGTGAATGCTAGCACGTTGTCATTTTAATTGCATTTCTGGTAACTAACAATGTGGAGCATTTTTTAATGTGCTTACTAATCATTGATATATCTCTTAATAAGTGTCTAAGTCTTTGCTCATTTTCATTGGATGGTTTGCCAGTTATGTATATTGTGACTATTTTCTCCAAATCTGTGGTTTCACTTTTTTAAAATCAGTGTCAAATGTTTTCTGAAGAACAGATGTTTTTAAATTTGATGAGTTCAGTTTATCAATAATTTCTACTACATGTTCATGTGTACATTCACACACACAAACACAGAGTTACACTTCTAATGAAAGCTAACCCTGTGGATCTCAAACTTTCTATTTCCACCCAAACCATAGTTACAGCTGTTACAGCTGACAGATTGTCATTAATCAAATTATTAATTTCATTCACATTAAAAATGCATACACATAAATACTTGTTGTAATGAAACAGCATATTTTAGAATGCATAGCCCTTCTCATTTTGAGCTCCCACTAACTTACAGGTGTTTTCAAACTTAAGATTATACATACGGTCATTTCCAAAAGGAGAGCTTTTTCCTAAATTCTTCATTAAAATTTATTAACTCCTTGTCAGAGAGGCTGAGGACAAAGACGCTTGAACTAATATGTCAGTACCATTGCCAGCAAAGATCAATGAGGGAGGAGAAAAACAAATCTCAACAATACTATGTCAGTGAAACTATTGGCTTAAATTTACCTAATGTATATTCGGCTATCCAAGAACATACTTTTACAGTAAGGATATACTCTCCTTCATTTCCATATCTCTCATTTTGGGGGCTGAAAAAAGGAGCTATTAATGCAACCAAATGGCTTATTCAGGTCACACAGCATTGAAGCAAGGAAACTAGCCAAAGCCGCCTGCCAACATTCACCAGTGAACACCCCATGGCATCGAGTCTGGCCATGGCAGCCATCTATCTTCACAGCCACCAGATCTCTTGAGCTTCTACATTTCCCTTACCCTCCCTTGGAGAACCCTACCTCCTGGTGCACATCTCAGAAATACAATCTCAGTGCTTCCCTCTGCCAGGATGACTTGGCCCATCTCAGGCATATTGATTGGAACTCAGTGGAAACTTTTCAGTCAATTTTTTTAAAAGAAAGAAAACCACCCAGGCACAACTGAAAAAAAAAACACAAAACCTTAAATTCTATTCAATGATCTGGGTTTGTGCCAGACTGGAGGGAACAACTTGCAAATTCTTCTTTAGAAGCTGTCAGAATACTTGCCTTAAATTTGCTCTGACTCAGCTCTCTGCAGGAAAGACATGTTGCCACAGCTGATTCATCAATAAACTGTTTCTTGTCCAAGACAAGTCATAGACTCACCTTTGATTCCACTTGACTCTGTTCGGTTCAAGAAAGGGGTGCTTGCAGTCAGAGTGGACCACCACACAACTCCCGCAACTCAGTATGCCTTGAACTGCTCAGAGAATGGCAGTTGAGCTTGTCTTCTTCACTCCTGGATGTGTACTCATTCCAAAGGCTTTCAACAAAAACAGATGTTTAGGAGAAAAGGTACAATTTAGAAAATGTCAAATCACCAGGTGCTTCCTTTTCATGATGAATAAATATCAATTTTTTTAAAAAGATGGTGTCAGTAGCAATCCAAAACACGTACTATAGGAAGTGAAAAATATAAGGGCATCCTCCAATTCTTTAAAGACTTATTTTTCTATGAATTGTTCTTCTGTACCCCATAGCATTGTGTTAAGTTTAAATACCAATAGCCATCTTTTATTTCTATTGCTGAAAGACTAAGTAGTAACTTACATGAAGGTAAAATATGTCTCTACCAATACATCTAACTGTATTTATCACATACATTCAATAGAAATTTCAATAGAAAGCTATTATCTGTCAAAAAAAATTCAGGCTTCTTATTGCATTTGAATCTGAATCTGATAGTTTATATTTTCTTTTATGCAGTATGTGAAAAGAAAAGTTGATTCCAGATATGTGGTTTTCCTGATCATCAGAAGATTATGCACCAGAAAAATTAAGCAACAACTTTGTACTTAATATTGGGCAAACAAGTAGGAAGGATTTTCTAGTCCTATTGAAGAGCTGATGTAATTTCAGTACTGGGATAAATATAACTAAGTATTTTTTTCCTTTATATATATTTTCTCAAGAATGTTCATTATTCTCTGAGCTCTTATCTGGACTCTGCATTGTAAATATTCTTTTTATAAGAAGAATACTATAAAATTGAAAATACTTGATAGTGAACTCTGATTCTTTCTTAAGGTTTATTATATACCACTGTGACTTATAATATATTTTAATTTTATCTAAGGCTGAATTAAGTTGTTTGTTTGTTTAGCTTTATAATTTCTATTTCTAATCACTAAAGAGGGGTAAATTTTGATAATCAGTGAGAATTTTGCCGGGGGGAAGGAGTTCTGGAATGGAAGACAGGAACTGAAATAAATTTGCTCCTCTATAAAAGCAACAGAAACAATGACAAAAGCCATCAGAATCAACTTGTTCAGAGCTCTGAAAGTTAATAAAAGGCAGGCAATTATTTGAGAAACATTTATTTAAGAAAAACTGCTGAACCTACATGAGAACAGGGCCTTTGTGATCTTTTAACTTGTTCGTAGGAGCCTTGAATACTAACCATCTGGCAGCCACAGTTGCTATAAAAACCAGCAGCCTTGCAGCCACTAAATGGGACAGACTTGATTTGAAACTTCTCAAAAGTTCCCATCTTCAGATCAGTGTTCACTATTTGACTTGACATAGAGCTCACTCTGCCAGAAAAGCTCTATTTGCAGTCACTATCTGACCTGACTTGGAGCTCACTCTGCTAGAAAAGCTCTACCCCCAGAGAATTGGTTGGAAACAAAGCTTTGAAAATTGTTTAGCAGCACAGTTGCCTGAGGCTGTGATACCAATAGGACCAAACAAGAGGTTGGCCAAAAACTTAAAAGGAAGATCTGGGGAATGGGCCCACACAGGGCTCCAGAAAGCTCTGACATATTCCTGAGGATATAGAAGGAAGGCCACATACATGTACAGAGCTGTGTGCATTCCCTAGAAACATCTGAGAGGAACCCAATCTTCCATCTCTGGCTGACTTTTAGGCCCTGTACAAGCAGGAAGTGAAGGCTAAGACAGAGGTGTAAACTACCTGAGCATTGAAAACACACCCCAACACACACACACAGTCTGTCAGCAAAGGGCAGAAGTTTTATAGCTTCAAGGCATGTAAGAAAATCTCTGACCAATTGTTGTTTGACTGCTAAGCTAACCAAGCAAAGGCTCAATAACTTCACACTACAGGGAATAAATACTTTACAGAATAAGTTAACAAATATCATTAAACAAACAGCAGCAACAACAAACCCCAGGAGTAGGGGTGGAATCTGATATCCAGAGTTGCCACATCATATCAAAAATGCTCAATTTGAAATAAAATATTAGAAGATATGCAGATAAATAGGAAAGGAAGGTTCATATGAAGGAAAAGAGCAGTCAACAGAAAAAGTTCCCAAGGGGCCAAATGAACAAATATTTTAAACCAGTTATTATATATACATATAAATATATATACACATAAATATATATACACACACATATATGTTCTAAGAATTAAAGGAAACCAAGTCTAAAAAATTAAAGTCGATTTAACATCGGAAAAAAGAACAAAAACCACATGATCATCTCAACAGATGTAGAAAAGGTATCTGACAAAATCCAGCATTCCTTCATCATAAAAACACTCAACAAACTTGGAGTAAAAGGAAACTTCTTTAACCTGATAAAAGGTATCTGTGAAATATCCATAGCTAATACCATACTTGGTGAAAGACAGAATGTTTTTCCTCTACAATCAGAAACAACATTGTCCATTCCTGCCACATCTATTCACTATTGCACTGGAGGTTCTAACGAGAGCAATTAAGCAAGAAAAATAAATAAAAGGCATCCACACTGGAAAATAAGAAGTAAAATAATCTCTAATTGGAAATGGCATAATACTGCATATAGAAAATCCTAAGGAATACACTAAAAAATTATTATAACTCATGAATGAGTTCCAAAGATTTCAGGATACAAGATCAATAAAAAAAAATCAGTTGTATCTCTATGCACTTGCAAGGAACAATCCAAAAATAATGTTAAGAAAATAATTTTATTTATAATAGCATCAAAATAAAATGCTTATGAAAAATTTAACAAATGCACACTGTGTACAGTATGAGACTTTTTCACTGAAAATACAAAACATTCCCAAAGGAAATTAAAGAAGATCTAAATGAATGAAAAGATATCCCAGGTTTTGGGATTAAAGGACTTATTATCATTAAAATGTTAATAGTTCCTAAATTAATCTACAGATTCACCACAATCTTGATCAAAATCCCAGCTGGCTTTTTGACAGAAATTGACAAGCTGGTCATAAAATGTATGAAAGTACAAGGACCCCATAATAACTACAACAATTTTAGAAAAAAACAAATTTAGAAGACCCACAGTTGCAACTTCAAAGCTTACTGCAATGTTACAGTAATCAAGATAGAACGCAACTGACATAAGGATACACACATAAATGAATGGAATCGAGGTGAGAGTAAAAATAAACCTCTACCTTTATATTTAACTGATTTTTAACAAGTGAGCTAAGATCATGTAATGGGGAATGAAACAGTCATTTCAACAAAAAGAGCTGGGACAACTAGATATCCACATGTCCAAGAAAGACATAGTTGTACCCCTTTATTATATCATACACATGCACAAAACCTCAAAATGAATCATAGGCCTCAACATAAGAGCTAAAACTATAAAACTCTTAGAAAAAAACATAGGCGTAATCTTTGTAACATAAAATTAGGGAATGTTTTCTTAGATATGATACCCAAAAGCAAGATCAACAAAATAAAAATTAAATAAATTGGACCTTGTGATGGTGCATTTTAGTTGTCAACTTGACAGGATGGAGGGAAGCCTATATGATTGGGGAAGCATTGTTTCTGGGTGGGTCTGAGAGGGTGGTTTTGGAGGATATTGGCATGTGAGTTGATAGACTGATTTGCATTTCTCTGATGGCCAGTGATGGTGAGCATTTTTTCACGTGTTTTTTGGCTGCATAAATGTCTTCTTTTGAGAAGTGTCTGTTCATGTCCTTTGCCCACTTTTTGATGGGGTTGTTTGCTTTTTTCCTTGTAAATTTGTTTGAGTTCATTGTAGATTCTGGATATTAGCCCTTTGTCAGATGAGTAGGTTGTGAAAATTTTCTCCCATTTTGTGGGTTGCCTGTTCACTCTGATGGTAGTTTCTTTTGCTGTGCAGAAGCTCTTTAGTTTAATTAGATCCCATTTGTCAATTTTGGCTTCTGTTGCCATTGCTTTTGGCGTTTTAGACATGAAGTCCTTGCCCGTGCCTATGTCCTGAATGGTAATGCCTAGGTTTTCTTCTAGGGTTTTTATGCAAATCAGAACCGCAATGAGATATCATCTCATACCAGTTAGAATGGCAATCATTAAAAAGTCAGGAAACAACAGGTGCTGGAGAGAATGTGGAGAAATAGGAACACTTTCACACTGTTGGTGGGACTGTAAACTAGTTCAACCATTGTGTAAATCAGTGTGGCAATTCCTCAGGGATCTAAAACTAGAAATACCATTTGACCCAGCCACCCCATTACTGGGTATATACCCAAAGGACTATAAATCATGCTGCTATAAAGACACATGCACACGTATGTTTATTGCGGCACTATTCACAATAGCAAAAACTTGGAACCAACCCAAATGTCCAACAATGATAGACTGGATTAAGAAAATGTGGCACATATACACCATGGAATACTATGCAGCCATAAAAAATGATGAGTTCATGTCCTTTGTAGGGACATGGATGAAATTGGAAATCATCATTCTCAGTAAACTATCGCAAGAACAAAAAACCAAACACCGCATATTCTCACTCATAGGTGGGAATTGAACAATGAGAATACATGGACACAGGAAGGGGAACATCACACTCTGGGGACTGTTGTGGGGTGGGGGGAGGGGGGAGGGATAGCATTGGGAGATATACCTAATGCTAGATGACGAGTTAGTGGGTGCAGCGCACCAGCATGGCACATGTATACATATGTAACTAACCTGCACATTGTGCACATGTGCTCTAAAACTTAAATAATAATAAAAAAAAAGATAGACTGAGTGGGGACGATTTGCCTCAATGTGGGCAGGCACCGTCCAATCAGCTTGGAGCCCGGATGGAATAAAAAGGGGAAAGAAGGATGAATTTGCTCTCTCTCTCTCTTTCTGCTGGACCTGAAACATCCTTTTACTTCTGTCCTTGGACATTAGAACTTCAGGGTCTTTGGCCTTTGGACTCTGGGAGGTACACCAGAGGCCTCCTGGGGCTCTCAGGCCTTTGATCTCGGACTGAGAGTTATGCCATTGGCTTCCTTGGTTCTTAGGCCTTACACCTGAACTGAACCATGCTACCAGCACCCCTGGATCTTTAGTTTGCAGACACACCACCATGAAACTTCTGAGCCTCCATATGTGAGACAGTTCTCCTAATATATCCTCTCTCATGTATCCATATCTATATCCATCTGTATCTGTATCTACATTTACATATCCTATTAGTTCTGTCTCTCTGAAGAACTTTGACTAATGAAGACCTCATCAAAATTAACAACATTTTGCTGCAAATGATACATCAAGAAAGTAAAAAAGCCACCCACAGTAGGGGAGAAAACATTTGCAAATTATATATCATACATCTGATAATTATATGTCATACATCTGATAAGGGACTTTATCCAGAATATGTAAAAAAGTCTTACAAGTCCACAATAAAAAGATGAATAATCTAATTAAAAGTGGGCAAAAAAACTACCAACATAGCAACACTCTGTCTCTACAAGAATAAATAATAAAAAAAAATTAGCTGGGCATGGTGGTTTGTGCCTATAGTCCTAGCTACTCAGAAGGCTGAGGGAAGAGGATCGCTTGAGCCCAGGAGTTGAAGGCTGCAGTGAAATATGATTGTGTCACTGCGCTCTAGCCTGAGAAACAGAGCAAGACCCCATCTCTTAAAAAGAAAGGTGGGCAAAAGATTTGAATGGATATTTTTCCAAAAAAAAAAATGTAAGAATGGCTAAGAAGCATATAAAAAGATTCTCAACATTGCTAGTCATTAGGGAATGCACATTAAAACACAGATGCCACTTCCCATCGTCTAGGATGACTATAATAAAAAAAAACAACAACAACAGACAATAACAAGGGTAGGCAAGGATGTGGAGAAATTGGAAGGCTCATAGATTTTGCTTGCGGAAATGTAAACTGGTGCAGCCACTTTTGGAAACAGTTTGATAGTTCTCAAAATGTTAAACATAGAGTTGCCATATCCAGCTATTCTACTCCTAGATACTATAGGAAACAAAATAATGCCCCTCAAAGATGCTCACCTCCTAATCCCTGAAATCTGTGAACATATTATCTTACATGAAAAAGGAAATTTCCACCTGTGATTCAGTGTCTCCAGATGGGGAGATGAACTTGGACTATCTGTGTGGGTTGAATGTAATCACAAGTGTTGTTATAAAGGGAGGTTGAGGGGATCAGAGTCAGAGAAGGCCATGCAACAACAGAGGCAGAGAGAGACGTTACAGCAGAGGCAGAGATCGGGAGGCAGAAATCATTATCAACAGAGGCAGAAACCATTAGCTTTTGATAATGATCATGGCAACACAGGTGAGATGCCATCGCTGGTAGAGCCAAGGAGTTTGGGTGTCTTAAGAAGTTGGAAAAGGTCCCCCTGGAGCTCCCAGAGAGGTGGCAGCATGGCCAGCACCTTGATTTTACCCTGGTGAAACTGATTTTGGACTCCAGACCTCCAGAACCATAAGATAATACATTTTGGTTGTGTTAAGCCATTAAGTTATGGTGATTTGTTACAGAAGCAACAGGATACTTATCCAATAACCAAGAGAAATGAAAACATGGTCACCCAAAAACCTGTACACCAATGTTCTTACAGCATTTTTCACAATAACCAAAAAGTGAAAACGACCTGCACATCCATTAACTGATGAAGAGACACAGAAAATGCGGTCTATCCAAACAAGGGCATGTTATTTGTAAGAAAAAAAAAATGAATGACTGATACAAGTGACAACATGGATAAACTTTAAAAACACTATGCTAAGTGAAAGAAATCAATTATTTATATGAAATGTCCGAAATGGACAATACAATAGAAATACAAATAAATTAGTAGGGAGATGAGGAGTGACTGCTAGCGGGTGTGGGGCTTCATTTTGGGATGGATTAATTATTCAAAATTAGATAGTGATGATGGTTGCACAACTCTGTGAATATAGTAAAATCTAATATATTGTATACATTAAATGGATGAGTTTTGTTATGAGAATATCTTAATGTTCATAACCTGTGACAAAATACAAATGCTCACCTCACTCTACTTGACAGCAATGTAATTCAAACACACAGCAAAACAACAATACTGTTTTTCATACATTTTTAAATTACCTTTATTGTTACTTTTCTTTATTTTTTAACTTTAAGTTCCAGGATACATGTGCAGAATGTGCAGGTTTGTTACACAGGTATACCTGTGCCATGGTGGTTTGCTGCACCTATCAACTCATCACCTAGGTTTTAAGCCCCACGTGCATTAGGTATTTGTCCTAATGCTCTCCCTCCCTTTTCCCCCCACCCCTTGACAGGCCCCGGTGTGTGATGTTCCCCTCCCTGTGTCCATGTGTTCTCATTGTTCAACTCCCACTTATAAGTGAGACCACGCGGCGTTTGGTTTTCTGTTCCTGTGTTAGTTAGCTGAGGATGATGACTTCCAGCTTCATCCATGTCCCTGCAAAGGACATGATCTCATTCTTTTTTATGGCTGCGTAGTATTCCATGGTGTATATGTACCACATTTTCTTTATCCAGTCTATCATTGATGGGCATTTGGGTTGGTTCCAAGTATTTGCTATTGTAAATAGTGCTGCAATAAACATACATGTGCATGTGTCTTTATAGTAGAATCATTTACATTCCTTTTGGTATATACCCAGTAATAGGATGGCTGGGTCAAATGGTATTTCTTGTTCTAGATCCTTGAGGAATTGCCACACTGTCTTCCACAATGGTTGAACTAATTTACATTCCCACAAACAGTATAGAAGTGTTCCTATTTCTCCACAGCCTTGCCAGCATCTATTGTTTCCTGACTTTTTAATAATCACCATTCTGACTGGTGTGAGATGGTATCTCATTGTGGTTTTGATTAAAGAGCTTCTGCCCAGCAAAAGAAACTAGCATCAGAGTGAACAGGCAGCCTACAGAATGGGAGAAAGATTTTGCAATCTACCCATATGACAAAGGTATAATATCCAGAATCTATAAGGAACTTAAACAAATTTACGAGAAAAAAGAAAAACACAAACAACCCCATCAAAAAGTGGACAAGGGATATGAACAGACACTTCTCAAAAGAAGACATTTATGCAACCAACAAACACATGAAAAGAAGCTCATCAGAGTATTGATTTGTATCTCTCAAGTGGCTTTTTAGTTTTATACTAAGCATTGTTAACCACGAAATAAACGCCAAGTTAACTGATTTATTTTTCACTCAACAAATGAATATATACTTCGTGTCACAGCCTGGATGGGCACTGGACCATGAGTGCCAGTGAAAGCACTAGTGCCATGAGTACTAATGGGCTTACTATATTTTTTATCTTATTCATACAAGGACAGTGGGCATGCTATCTGACTTCCAACTAATCACATATCTTAAATATGCCAAACTCCATTACTTCTGTCACTCCTTATGTAATAAAGCTATGTTATACCTTATAGATTTGTTTAAATGTACTAACTTTATAAGATTATTGGCCAGCTCTAATTTGTTGATACGGATTAGGTTTTACCTGTTTATATACACATGCCTCTCTACTAGGCTGAAATATTTGAAATACAATATAACAATATTAGCCAAATGCTTATGTGGACAAATATATAATTAAGTTAATGCTATGAGTGAGATACACAAGGAGTTAAGAGAGTAATTATCCCCTTGCCTTTTGAGTCAAAGAAGTTTTTTCCAAGGAAGCAGGCAGAAGAACATTTCAGGAAGGTGGCAACATGGCCAAGACCCAGAGATGTGGGTATGTTTGTTCATTTCAGGGAGGCCAATGTGGCCAGAGTTGATCAGCCTTAAAGGCAGATTAGTAGTGGCACCTCAACATCCACTTTCAAACTCTTCATTATGAATGCAACTTGTTAGCTGGATATTGTCCAAGTGGATAAAAGACTTTATATCCCACCTGCCTTGCAGCTACGTCTGGTTGCGTGATAAAGTTGGGAACAACTCAAGGTCAGCCGAATGGTCTCTCAAGGGAGAGAATGTTCTTGTCCATTTGATTTCTCCTTCCAGTTAGCTGGAAGATGGAGGCAGTGACTGGAGATCAGGCAGATATCTTGACCAGGGTGAAAGCTGCATGCTGCAAATGCCAGATCCAGGTCTTGGATACCATATTCGATGAATCAGCCCTAATCTGCCTACCTCTTAGGTCTTTTATGTGAGAAAGAAGAAATTTCTATCCAGTGAATCCACAGTTATTTAGGTTTTCTTTTCTTCACAGTAAAATATAATTAATACACTTTCGAGGATGTGTTAGTTTTTCCTACAAGTTCTGGGAAGATCATAAAGGTTAAGACATAATTGTCTTAGGCTTTAAAAAATGTTTTTCACTGTCATATGAAGAATTAATTGAAGTGAGAACTACTGGATATAGAGATACCAAGTGGGAAACGATTACAGTAATTTAGGTTAAAGATGTTGATGAATTTAGACTAAAACAGTGTCAGACAAAAAGAAAAGGAAAAATGAATTCAAGATATATTTAGGATACAGAATCAACGGCACTTGGTTACTGATCATTGTGGGGAGTGAAGAAAAGGGAGGTGTTAAGGATGATTCCAGTCATTCTAAGATGAGCAACTGGTGGGTTGAGGTGTTATTTCCTGAAATGGGAAATGCTGGAGGAAGAACAGTCTTAAGGGAAAGATCAAGAGTTTAATTTTAGACTGGGAGAGTTTGGAATGGCTGCAGCTATGGCAGATTTACAGTTGGATGTGGAGATATGGAGATCAGAAGATAGATTTAGCGTGGGCGTGGTGCCTCACACCTGTAGTCCCAGCGTTTTGGGAGGTTGAGGTGGGAGGATAGCTTGAGGCCAGGAGTTCGAGGCTGCAGTGAGCTATGACCTTGCCACTGCACTCCAGCCTGGTTGACTGAGCAAGACCCTGTCTCCTGTCTCAAAAATAAAATAAAAGTAAAAAAGAAGATAGGTTTGTATTGTAACTCACAAATTAGTGTTATAAAATGCTCTGGATGGAAACTTGAATTTGGGGGGATTTTGTTGTTGCTTTTCTTCCTCTGCTCTAGTGCTGTGCTTTGTAAACTACAGATTATGATCCTTGAGTGGCTCAGAAAAACAATATTTTTTACTTCATTAATGAGATAGAATTTTTAAATCATGGTGTTCCGCTAATAACTTAAAAGTTTTTATGCAAGTATATATAATGCACATACACATATGTGCATTTATACATACATGATCATGGGTGACTAGATATACACATAGGCTTCATAGGCAAATGTTTTTGCCTATTTCGATTATTGATGTATATCCATTGCCTAGAATGGTGTATGGTAGGCAGTCACTAAACATTAATTGAATGAATAAATATGTGAACATGTGAGTATGTGTACATTCACTGTGTGGCAATATAAAAACTATTTTTTACTATATTAATATTGACATAATTTCAGACTTAAAGAAACATTTCAAGAAAAGTCTAAGAATTCCCAGATACTCTTTTTTTATTATCTTTATTCATTCATTTATTTATTTATTTTTGAGACGGAGTCTTGCTCTGTCGCCCAGGCTGGAGTGCAGTTGGCGCGATCTCTGCTCACTGCAAGCTCCACCTCCCGGGTTCACACCATTCTCCTGCCTCAGCCTCCCGAGTAGCTGGGACTACAAGTGCCCGCCCCCATGCCCAGCTAAGTTTTTGTATTTTTAGTAGAGACAGGGTCTCACCGTGTGAGCCAGGATGGTCTCGATCTCCTGACCTCGTGATCCACCTGCCTCAGTCTCCCAAAGTGCTGGGATTACAGGCGTGAGCTACCACGCCTGGCCATTCCCAGATACTCTTTTTTAATGAGATGGAGTCTTGCTCTGTCACCCAGGCTGGAGTGCAATGGCACCATCTCGGCTCACTGCAGCCTCCGCCCCCTGGGTTCCAGCAATTCTCCTGCCTCAGCCTCCCAGGTAGCTGGGATTACAGGCACACGCCACCATGCCCAGCTAATTTTTGTACGTTTAGTAGAGATGGGGTTTCACCAGGCTAGCCAGGCTGGTCTTGGAACTCCTGAGCTCAGGTGGTCCGCTTGCCTCGGCCTCCCAAAGTGCTAGGGCTAAAGGCATGAGCCACCGCAACTGGCCCCCAGATATTCTTTATCCTTCACCCAGATTCCTCATAAGTTAATGTTTTATTTCATTTTCTTTATATATAAACACACACACATAGACACACACACACCACACACACACACACTTTTCTGAATCATTCAAAAACTGCAGACATAATGCCCCTTTACCCGTAAAGTCAGTATTTATGTCTTAAAAATATAAACCACATGTAGTTATCAATGTAGTTATCAAAACCAGAAAATTAACATTGAAATGCTGTTATTATCTAATCTACAGACAGTATTGGGATTTTTGGTTATTGTCCCAATAATGCCTTTTACAGCAAAAGAAGATCCAAGATCCTGTGTGGCACTCATCTGTCGTGTCTCTTCAGTCTCTTTTAATCTGGAACAGTTCCTGAATCTTTATTTTTATAAAGTATGTTTTTTTTTTTTTTTTTTTTTTTTTTTTTTTTTTTTTACTGTGGTCAGGGTAAAAAATTTTCTGACAGTCACTGGGCTAGTGAGCAGTTAGAGTCTAAAATATCACCTTGGTCTGCCTTCGAAGGGGAAATCACAGAAGAACATTCTCTTTCTTGAAATGGTAGAGGGTGGCTTCTGGATCTGATCGGGACATGGTGTTAGGGAAAGGAGAGCTATGAGAATGTCTTTGTTGCTGCATTTGGATTCTGAGAGGACATTAGAGTCCATTGTGGGAGTAATGAGGTTAAGGACACCTTTGTGTTGAAACCCTGGAAGAAGGTGCTGGCCGGCCTGAGCAGGTGGAATTCAGGGAAGAAGAGAACAGCCATTCTGGGTCTTTGCAAGGTGAGTTGGAACACTGGCTGATGTTGGAGCTTTGGTGAGCACCAGATCCTAAGATGTGAGGTAAGAAAACGGGAGATGCCCCTGGCCACACCTGGCCCTGTGGGAGGAAAGGCCCAACTAGGGAATCTACTCAGGCTCTGGATTAACACTGGCATCTGCCCACCTGGGTTGGATGTGTTGTCAATAGCCATGTGGTAGCAAGAGGCAAAAGATGATGGAATTTCAGGTTTTTCTAGTGAGAAATGGATTCACCCCACCCTAGCCCCATCTTGGACTGCTCAGGGCTTCCTGAGTTATCAGCAGAAGGATGGGTCCTCAAAGGGAAAATACGTCAATATTTGCTAATGTGGAAGGCAGGGCTCTCAACTAGCCAGATCTCATTTGAGTTGCAAAATATGAACATGGGTTTATATTTGCACAATGAGTTTTTGGAACAAGTCCTGCCAGTCACAGATTGTTTTTAAAATATAGGAGATGAAAGAAATCTCCTAAGCAGAAAGAAGAGAATAAAAAGAGAGCCTGAGGAATGCCATTATTTTAAAGTCAGGCAGAGAAGTACTTGTCAAAGGAGACAGAAAAGGCATTTCCACAGAGCAAGAAGGAAAAGCAAGAGTGTGCAGGTCACATAAGCTGAAGGACTTAAGATGGCAGAAAAGCTAACATATGGTTGAACTTTACCTGGAGCGTTTGCACCCTATCAAGAAGAAATAATTATTACACTCTGGCTATTGTACCCAGAATGTTCTGTGACCAGTGCTATTGTAGAGATGTGGATGTCTATGGCAAGTTCCAGCAGTTAAAGAGTCTATCAGGACTCATGCCATCAGCCACAGAAACACATTTCTGCTATCCTTGGATAACCAGGAGAGAACAGGCTTGGAAATGTGCAGCTGAGAGAGCTCTCATGGGCTGGACAAGCCACCACAGCCAAGGTCTTCTAGCAGGAACCCTATTGCTGTCCCCTCACTGAATATGCCTCCAGCCAGCCTGTGTGTTCCCTCATTCATTGAAAGTAAATGTGCCCAGAGGGGCACCTGCATGCCCAAGCTTGAATCACATGCCTACCTTGGGGTGCACTTAGATGGGGAAACACAGGATGTGGGATTCTCAGTTGCAGGGATATTTTACTTAAAACTTGAAACTATTAATGTAATTCCTGCATCCCTCAGTACAGGCAGAGAGGAGAGCAAGTGTGTCCTGGACCTACCTAGCTATAACTATGGCTTTGTGTGTGTTCATGTGCCACATGTGGCCAGGTGGTGGGCTCCAGCACACCACACAGATGAGGGGAGCCCTCCTGAACACTGGGCTATGTCTTCTGACTGACCCAGAAGCTGGTGGGAACAAGCTGTTTTGGCTCCCTTCTCCCCCTCCCTGCTATCCTGCCTCCCCACTTTTTACCACCCACCCCTGTCCCCTAACCACCACCAGCATTCAGTGATAGTCCTGGCAAGATTGCAGTTCCTGTGCAATCTCTCTGTGGACACCTCTCAGGCTGTAGGCACTGTGCCTCTTGGAAACTGGTAAATTTGCAGGGGAAGGGAAGTTCCTAACCTCACTTTGCCTGGAAATGCCATGCCTTCTCTACCCTGTTATTTGTTTTCCTTCTGTTCTAGTCACTAGGAACAGATCAGAAAGTTGGCTGGTGACACAGATAGCCTCGGAGGGAGAGGGAGGGGTGGCTGGAATGCTCCCTTGGCTTTGGAAAGCCTGTCCCTTTCTCCCAATTGGGTGGTGACTGGAACAAATGACACTCCCTCCCAAACACTGCATTTCCCCCAAAGGTGCTCCTCCCTTCTCCCAATCAGCGAGGATAGGATGTAGGGAGGGAATGGGGGTGGTGGGGGAATTCTCTGAACTGATACCTCTCAGCAGGCTCTGAAAGGTGGAAGCTGGGCCTGACCCCTGGGGGTCCAGGGTGACGCAGGGGAGCAGTTTGCTCTGCGGCAAGCAATTGTTAGAACTGAGACTTTGGTGGAAGTCACATGGGGATGATAAGGAGATGGGCTTTCAGTTGGTTTTGTTATTATATTTAAGCATTCTACAGACTGTGTGGCTCCTTGTTGTCTGCAGCCCAGAGTGGACTGCTCCCACCTCCCCACCTTTGGGACAGCATGGATAACAACTGACAGGCAGTTGCCGGACCTTAGGATGAGAACAATTAATGTGGTCACGGATAAGTTTCCAGGGTACCAAGAAAAAAATCAACATTGAAATCCTACCTGATTTTCCTAATATCCTGGAAATTTATCCATCACCACAAACATGGTTCTCATCCTAAGGTCAGACAACTATCTAGTGATGTCCCAAAGGTGGGGAGGTGAGAGCAGGAAGTGGGGGAATTGGATGATGGACAACCGGCGGGCAGGGGGAAGGAACGAATTTCCACTGCGATGAGTTTATAAGTATTAGAGAGAAGCATGTGTGTGTACAAATATTTTTTATGTGTACTTGTAATGTCCCACACATATACCCACTAGGAACCAAGGTTGCTTATACAGGCAGGGGAAGTAGACAAGCTCTTACTGGAGCAGTTTGAAGGGTGTCTCAGATATCTCCCCGTTGCCAGTTTTCACCGGTTGTGGATATCTAACTTTAGAAATTCATTCCTTTGTGAACCTGACCTTCAAGCCATTCTTTCCTTAGGTTTCCTCCTGAAAAACCTCAGCTAAAATATTTTCCTACTTCTCTGAATTTCCACATGCTTTATCTAAGGGCAGAAATCTCACAAAGTTAACCTTGTTGTATCCACAGCACCAAATGCAGTGCCTGACATACACTAGGTGGTCAACAAACAGATACTGAGTGAATTAAAATAGAATCATATCTGGGAATCCTAGAAAGCTAAGTCACTGGTATGTCAAGGGCATTCGGGCTAGTTTCCTCCTCAGAGGAAAGACAGAGGCAGCCTGAGAATCCCAGGTTGCTTTGGGCTATTAGAATGTTAACAAAGCATTGAAAAGAACTCACTAAAGTGACAGCATCAAAATGATGACATCAGAACATCTTGTACCCATTCCTGCTTCATCAAGTAACCTCAGGCTAGTCACGTAATTTCTCTGATGTCAATTTTTTTTATCTACAAGTTATCACGAGTGGATTAAACATTTTCTAAGATCCTTTTTCTCTTGGTTCTCTTCCCTGCTAGAGAGAAGGGAAAATACTTTGGTTATTATTTACTTGTCATCAAGTTTTGTCTCTTTCTACATACATCACATTGATGCTATTACTCTACTCCTTAAAATGTCTGTATCTGTAATTATCCGCCAATTACCTACCAGATCACGTCCAAACTCCATCTACAAACATTCATTCAAGACCTCCCCACCCCATCGACACTTTATCTTTTTCAGCCTTATTTCTCACCATTCCCCTATCCTAAGCTTCCCTTGCAGTCAAAATTGATCTATTTCTGGTCCACTAAATAGTTTATAAATTTTAAAAATTTTGTCCCTTTACTCAAATGCTTCTTTCTACATACGTGATAGTTCATTTCAGGTGTCACCTTGACTGGATTAAGGGACACCCAGATAGCAGGTTAAACATTATTTCCAGGCATTTCTGGAAGAGATTAGCATTTGAAGCAGTGGACTGAGCAAAAACGATCAGCCCTCACCAACGTGGGTGGACATCATCCAATCTGCTGAGGGCCCACATAGAACAACAAGGTGGAGGAAGGACAAATTTGCTCTCTGTCTTCTGCAGATACAACGCTCATCTTTTCCTGCCTTTGGACATCAGAACTCCAGGTTCTCCAGCATTTGGGCTACAAGACTTTTACCAGCACCTCCACCTGCCCTCAGACTGAGAGTCACAGCCTTGGCTCCCTGGTTCTCCAGCTTGCAGACAGCCTATCATGGGACTTCTCAGCCTCCATAACCATGGGAGCCAGTTCCCATGATAAATCCCCTCATATATCTTTATCTATCTATCTATTATCTATCTATCTATCTATCTATCTATCTATCTATCTATCTATCTATCCATCCATCCATCCTATTGATTCTGTTTCTCTGAAGAACTCTGACTAATACAACATACAATTCTCAAATCCTCCCATCTTACTTTGAAGTCCTCTCCATTCTTCCAAACAAAGCTCAAATGTAACTTCCCCCAGAAAGCCTTCTACAGCCAGAAGTGACAGTTTTTCCTTTAAATTCTTATAGAACCTCTTATTTCCTTTTTTTAAATAAGAATCTTTTTTTTCTTTACTTTAAGTTCTGGGATACATGTGCAGAAGGTTCAGGTTTGTTACATAGGTATACATGTGCCATGGTGGTTTACTGCACCTATCAATTCATTATCTAGGTTTTAAGCCCCTCATGCATTAACTATTTGTCCTAATACTCTCCCTTCTCTTGCACCACCCCTGAAAGGCCTCAGTGTGTTATTTCCCTCCCTGTGTCCATGTGTTCTCATTAGAACCTCTTATTTCTATCAACTCTATAGCTCTTTCATAAGGCCTTTTATTTTAAGCATTTGTGTACTTGCATTACTGCTATCTCCAAGTTTGCATGCTCTTTGAGGATGGGGACCATTACTTAGAAATCTTTCTGTCTTGTATAACTCTGCCAATAAAACCCTGCAGGCATGGCAAAAGAAACCCAGCATTTATTCATGTCACTATTGTGCAAAGAACTTTATATATGTATCTTATTTGGTACATATAATCATCCTATGGGGTTTAATATAATTACTCTTATTTTATGGATGTGAAAAATAAAACTCAGAGAGGTGTAGAAACTTGCTAATTATTAATATCCAGCAAGTAGGGAATCATGATCAGATGTGTCTGATTCTAATGTTGGTGATTTTCCCTACCAAAAAGCATCCAATTTATGTAATAGTTGCTCAATCAATATTGATGAGCATATGGTGAATCACTGTGGCAGAGAAAGCAAGTGCTCTCCAAACATCGTGCACTCCTCTGAGTTCCTCAGCCCCCCAAGTTGGGGCCATGTGACTGGGCTCTGGCCAGGGAGATCTTGCTTCAGTCTCATGGAGGCCATGCGTTTCAGATGGAGGAGCCCTCTCTGCCAGAATCAGATAGAGAGGTGATAGGAAATAAACATTTACTGGTTAAGCTGCTGAGATTTTAAGATATGTCTTTTGTCAATTAAGATTTACCTGTTAATTACTCTGAATAACAAAGTAACTGACCAAATGAGCATAATTAATATAATGATATGCTATTCTAAGAAGATTTATTGAATAATATCTAGGTGTCAATTTACTTGTTCCTTGTAACATCATCTGTGCTCTTAGAAAAGTCAGCCAAGATCACTGCTGTTCTTAGAGTAGATGCCAATGAACTCTTAATCCTTGAGCACATGTATTGAGAACTGTAATTTCAATACAATGTGTATGTGTGTTTAAGCTTTCATATACAGGCATACCTCTTTATTGTGCTTTGATTTATTGCACTTTACAGATATTGTGCTTTTTACAAATTGAAAATTTGTAGCAGGCCTGCATCAAGCAAATCTATTGGCACCATTTTTCCAACACCATTTTTCCTGTCTCTGTGTCACATTTTGGTAATTCTCATAGTATTTCAAACATTTTCACTATTATTATATCTGTTATAATGATCTGTGATCAGTGATCATTAATGTTATTATTGTCATTATTTGGGGGCACATGAACCATGCCCATAAAGATTCCACACTTAGTCAATAAATGTTGTCTGTGTTCTCACTGCTTTACCAACCTGCCCTATCATTCTCATCTCTCTCCCTGTCCTCTTGGGCCTCTCTATTCCTTGAGACACAGCAATATTGAAATTAAGCCACTTAACCCTACACAAACCTCTAAGTGCTGAAGTGAAAGGAAGAGTCACACATCTCTCACTTTAAATCAAAAGCTAGAAATGATTACACAGTGAGGAAGGAATGTTGAAAGCTGGGATAGACCAAAAGCTAGGCCTCTTATGCCAAACAGTTACCCAAGCTGTGAATGCAAAGGAAAAGTTCTTGTAGGAAATTGAAAGAGCTACTCCAGTGAACACACAAATGATAAGAAAGCAGAACAGCCTTATTGCTGATGTGGAGAAAGTTCTAGTGGTCTGGATAGCAGATCAAACCAGCCACAATATTTTCTTAAGCCAAAACCTAATCTAGAACAAGGCCCTAACTTTTGTGTATTCTGTGAAGGCTGGAAGAGGTGAGGAAGCTACACAAAAAAAGTTTGAGGCTAGTAGAGGTTGGTTCATGAAATTTAAGGAAAGAAGCTATCTTCAAAACATAAAAGTGCAAGGTGAAACAGCAAGTGCTGATGAAGACACTGTAGCAAGTTATCCAGAAGATCTAGCTAACATCATTGATGAAGGTGGCTACACTGAACAACAGTTTTTTAATGTAGGTGAAACAACCTTCTATTGGAAGAAGGTGTCATCTAGGACTTTAAAAGCTACAGAGGCGAACTCAATGCCTGGCTTCAAATCTTCAAAGGAGAGGCCAACTCTCTTTTCAGGGACTAATGTAGCTGGTGACCTTAAGTCAAAGCCAGTGCTCGTTTGCCATTCCAAAAATCCTTGAACTCTTAAAATTAAGCTAATTCTACTCTATCTGTGCTCTATAAATGGAACAACAAAGCCTGGATGACAGAATATCTGTTTACAGCATGGTTTACTGAATACTTTAAGCTCACTGTTGAAAACCACTGCTCAGAAAAAAAAAAAAAGATTCCCTTCAAGATGTTCATTGACAATAATGCACCTAGTCACTCAAGAGCTCTAATGGAGATATACAAGGAGAATAATGTTTTTCATGACTGCTAATACAACATCCATTCTGCAGCTCATGTATCAAGGAATAATTCAACTTTCATGTCTTATTATTCTGGTAATACATTTTATAAGGCTGTAGCTGCCATAATGATTCCACTGATAGATCTGGGCAAAGAAAATTGAAAACCTAAAAAGGATTCCCCGTTCTAGATGCCATTAAGAACATTCGTGATTCATGAAGGAGGTCAAAATATCAACATTAACAGGGTTTGAAACGTGGATTCTGACACTCATGGATGACTTTGAGGCACTCAAGATTTCAGTGAAGGAAGTAATTGAAGATGGGGTGGAAATAGTAAGAGAACTAGAATTAGAAGCGGAACCTGAAGATGAGTCTGAATTGCTGCAATCTCATGATAAAACTTGAATGGATTAAGAGTTGCTTCTTATGGATGAGCAAAGAAAATGGTTTCTTGAGATGGAATCGACTCCTGGTGAAGACGCTGTGAACACTATTGAAATCACAACCAAAAAATAAATGGAGCATTCCATGAACCAAGTTGATAAAACAGTAACATGATTTGAGAAGACTGACTCTAATTTGAAAGAAATTGTATCGTGGGTAAAATGCTATCAAACAGCACTGCTTGATACAGATAAATCTTTTGTGAAAGAAAGAATCAATTGATGTGGAGAATGTCATTGTCTTATTTTAAGAAATTGCTACGGCCACTCCAATCTTCAGCAACAACCACCTTGATAACTCAGCAGCCATCAGAATTGAGGGAAGACCCTCCTTCAGCAAAAAATATTACAACTTGCCAAAAGCTCAAACGATCATTGACATTTTTTTAGCAATAAAGATATGCACATTTTTTTAGACATAATGCTATTGCACACTTAAGAGACTACAGCAGAGTGTAAACATAACTTTTATATGCACTGGGAAGCCCAAAAATTTATGCAACTTGCTTTATTGCAGCATTTGCTTTATTGCAATTGTCTAGACCCAAATTGGCAACATCGCTAAGTTATGCCTGTATGCATTTGTATAACTTTCATGTCAGACAAGTATGACTCATGAGCCATCTTTTATTCCTTGATGCTTATTTAGTGAGGGTTACTTGTTTCTCCTTTGACCCTGGATGTAAATTTAGGCAGGGCTCGTGGTTATTTCCACATCATAGAAATTCCTACAGCCATTTTAAGATGTAGAACATAGTTTCAATTTAGTAATCATGTAATATTCATCTAAAAATCAACACTTCAAATTTGATTTAAGTTTGAGATTTCTCCCCTTTTTCCCAACTCAGGTCTATTGCAGGTAGGAAGTCATCCTTGGGAAGGGTTAGTTGCCTGCCACATTTTTCCATCCCCCTAGCTCTTGACCCTCCAGGGTTAGAGCCCAGGAAAGGATCAAAGGAAAGGGGAGTAGGAAGGTTCTTCCTTTTTTGATACTGAAGTGAGCTGATGCCAGTGACCTCTGGTCTTACCACAGTTTATGCTGATTTTTTCCTTGTGGGAACTTTCATGGGTTCTTTAGAAGCCCTCCCCTCCTATTTCTGGAGAAGTTTCTCCTACACTTCCACTGATACTAGCAGATGCATCTCTGTTTCTACTCAGCACTTCAACTCAGCTCCTTCCTCATCTCAGCCTTGGAATGGCTAGATTCCATTCACCTCTGGCCTTTTCCTGCTGAGCTGGCACCTTGAACTGGACTGGAGTTGATCCCACGTTGGTTTTCCCTTACATACAGCCTATATCCAGTCCATGGTTAACACTCGCCCATCCTTAGCTGCTACAAACTCTGGAAGCATAGACCATTCCCAACCGGCAGCAATCTCTCCCTGCTGGCCAACCAATATCCCACCTTTTAGATTTTTCTAGTTGGAAAAAAATCTAAATTTTATACAAATTAAATGAATTATACTTATGTGTAATAACACTAATTAAAATCTAAATTATGTACTGGCCCAGCAAACCCCAAAACTTCAAGGGTACCTTAAAGCTTTAAGTGATCTTAAAACCCAAATGCACCAATTTGGAGGGGGAGACTTGTAATACTCCAACAGTGCTCTCCAAAAACCTTCTCCCCAAACCTCCTTATTTAACTCCACAAAACTAACCCTTTATATAATGTGAGTAAGAGGTACACGAGTTATATAATTGCTATCTGACCATCGCCTTTGGGCAGATTTTCCCTTCCCTTTGGAATCTCTTATCTCAGTACTGCAAGTAACATTTTAAAGCTCAGTTAAACATACAGACTGTGGTTGAGGTCAAATCTAGAAAATGAAGTTTGCGGGGAGAGAGGTGAGTACTTTTCACTTTCATGCTTCTTGGTTTTTAAACAAGCTTGATAGTTTTGGAATAATTGTTTAATTAAAAACTACCCTTGGAAAAAAATTTTAATTGTTATATGTTCCAGTTTGTTATTCCTCTTAGGAATGTTTATTTTCATTAATTTATAGCCCATATAATTACATTTAAATATTTTAAAGCTGATTACTTATAAGAACTTTCAATAAATAAGATGTATAAAAAAGACAAGGACATGTTCGTAATGTCAAAAAGACAAGGATGTGTTCATAATGTTCATAATTTCAGCTGTTGCTGATGGTCAAAAAAAAAAAAAAAAGACAATCAGAAACAGCTCTCAGATTCCTTAAAGAACTAAAAGTAGAACTACCATTTGATCCAGCAATCCCACTACTGGGTATCTACCTGGAGGAAAAGAAGTCATTATATGAAAAAGATACTTGCACACACATTTATAGCAACACAATTCACAATTGCAAAATCGTGGAACCCACACAAATGCCCATCAGTCAACAAGTGGATAAAGAAACTGTGGTATACATATACAATGGAATACTACTCAGCCATGAAAAGGAATGCATTAACGGCATTTGGAGAGACCTGGATGAGATTGGAGACTATTATTCTAAATGAAGTAGCTCAGGAATTGAAAACTGAACATCGTATGTTCTCACTGATGTGTAGGAGCTAAGCTATGAGGATGCAAAAGCATAAGAATGATACAATGGACTTTGGGGACTTGGGGGTGGGAGGCGGCAAGGGATAAGAAACTACAAGTAGGGTGCAGTGTATACTTCTCGCGTGATGGGTGCACCAAAATCTCACAAATCACCACTAAAGAACTTACTCATCTGACCAAACAACACCTGTACCCCAATAACCTATGGAAAAATAAGTTAAAACAAAAAAAGAAACAGCTCCCCCAAAAATCATGGCTCATGGCAATTTTTCTGCAACTAGAGTAAGAAGGAGGCAGCTGACCACTGATGCGGGAATCCCCAACATAACCAGACAGCTTATTTCAAGATTGCAACAACTTAAATAAAAACTCTCAGATTTCTCTATCCAGGAAAGACTTCTCATGTCACTATTATTTGCAATAAAATACCTGGGTCAAAGATGCCAAAATTAACATATTTTTATAAGCAACGTAATTCCTGGAGAGCAAATAAAGTCACTATAAGATATCCCTACTGGCACCAACATCACCTGTCCTTACATTACTCAGCATACAGTAGGTGCTCAACAGATACTGCAGGGTTTTTTTAGAGGAAATTGTCATTACCACATGCCTCCAAATTGGCTTCCTGATGGGATGCATCTGTCTGTTCCACGGACCCACCAGCAGAGAGCTTTTCCCAGCTTGGATTCATACAGAACAACCTTATTAAGGACAAATTGTCATCACCACTTTCATTTTCTAACTTTGAAAAGGGGAGTGATTATCCACCCTCTTTTTATGTAAGTGGGAGAATAAATGAGTAGATCCAGACACATTTTTAATAGTATTTTGGGATTAAGAAATGAGTAGATCCAGACACATTTTTAATAGTATTTTAGGATTTAAAAATGGCCCCCTCTAAACTAGATTCCTGAGAACTGATTCACTGAAGATGGTGAGCCACAGGAACTTCAGAGAGTTCCTGTTATAGAATCACAGGGACAGAAAACACCACCTCAGCTGCCTCCCTCAAAATTATAAAAACCCAGGTGCTATTTTAGTACCGACCCGCTCCCCCCGACTCCAGTTCTAACACCTGTCTTGGTTTGGGTGATAAATGTGTATTCAAACCACAAGGCTGTGAGTGAAGATGTCTGCCTTTTGCTCCTGTGGGCTCCAACCCATCCCAGCAGAGGCGATGCCAGCAGACAGTGGTTAAAGGGATGGGTGTTAAAATCCAGCCAATTCCCAAGCACACCCAGCTCTGGAGAAAAATGCCCGTCAGACTTGCGGATGGAGCTGAGCTCCAGCAACCATGCAGAGCCTGGGAGGGGCAAGGAGACTGTGAGGGCAGAGGTCTCCAAGGATGTGGCTCAAGACAGGTGCCCATATGACCCAGGACACATATGGCAAAGAAGCCGAGTGCTAGAAGGGAAAAGTGTGGGCAGAGGGAGACTATCTTTCAGGAATGTAGTCTGTAATTACAAGTGTAGACCTGCACGTGGAGTAAATCCTCCACACTGCTGGGTCACTCCTGAGGATCAAGGAAACATCTCAATGGCCGTTGGAATAATCTGGGCATTTAGGTTAATTGACTTATGTCTTAGATTAAGATCCGAGATCCCTGAGATGGGGTTTCATAAGCTTTATTAGGAAGTGGATTTAGGAAACCAGTAGAGGGAAGTGGAGAAAGGAAGGGAAGGGAGCTCAGTCCTGCAGAGGATGCTGTAGAGACACAGCAACCACACCTCAGAGATGAAGGAACAAGAGAGCTGGAATAATGATAACATTGTATCCATCAGTCACCCACCATCAAGGACTACCATGGGGAATGGGATGGGGATGTATGTTCCTAGACACTTCCAGCTTTCAGAGTGTGCAGAGGAAGCCAAGTTGAAGGTGTTATTACAGGCTGAGAACAGTGGCGGTCCTCAGACAAGGCGACTCAGCCACGCTGGCTGTCAGGAGTGAAAGTTGTACAAGAATATGGCAGAAGAACCAAAGGGATACCTGTGGAGCAGCGCCAGCATCTGCTATAGGGGAGGCCATTGCCTAGAAAATCCACATAGGGGCTGCTTAGAAGGGAGTATGACCTCTGCTCAGAAAAGCACAGGCAATCTGCGCTCATCTTTCTAACAAAGAGTTCCTGGGCTACTCGTCTCAGATATTTTCGATGTAATTGCCCAGTTCCTGTAGTTTTAGAGAAATTTGCCCAGACTAGTCTTTCTCTCCCATCCTCCTCTGTATTCGTGTATTCTTCAAACCGCTTTTTCCAATTGCTGTCTTTCCTCTTTCCCTTTCCTCCTTCCTTTCTTTGCAATCTTTCTCCTACTCCTTCTTGCTCTCCTGCTCTCTCAGCCGTCGCTCACCTTGAAATGCCCATGTTTCTGCATAAAGACAGTGCAGATACCAAAAACTACTTGAGGCAAGAAAGGCAATCAAAATTAATTTGGCAGGTTGCAGTAAAGAAGCCAGCCAAAACCCACCAAAATCAAGATGGCAACAAAAGTGACCTCTGGTTATCCCCACTGCTCGTTATATGCTAATTATAATGCATTGGCATGCTAAAAGACACTCCCACCAGTGCCATGAGAGTTTACAAATGCCATGGCAACATCAGGAAGTTACCCTATATGGTCTAAAAAGGGGAGGGACCCTCAGTTCTGGGAATTGCCCACCCCTTTCCCGGAAAATTCATGAATAATCCATCCCTTGTTTAGCATATAATCAAGAAATAACCATAAGTATTCTTAGTCTAGCAGCCCAAGCTGCTGCTGTGCCTATGGAGCAGACATTCTTTAATTCCTTTATTTTCTTAATAAACCTGCATTCACTTTAAAAGAAACATAAGTTTAGAAATTTTTTCCCATTAAATCAGACTTCTTTAAGGGGGATAAAAATCCTTGGATTATTGACAGAGTATTATTTGATTCCAAAATCTCATTTAAACACCTTAAGTTTTAATAGGTTCATTGTGTCCGTATAGCCATAACGTGCATTTAAAAATCCATGCTGGCTCAGTGCTTCGTGGTATAGTCCTGTTTCTGAAGCTATGTGTTTATTTAGTGGTGGCTTTCTGTTTTATTTGGAGGTATTACCATGTGAAAACATTTGGTAAGCCTGTCCTCTCAGCCAAAATAAAATCTAAGAGAGTTTCAAACATACTTTGAAAGGCTAGTGGACACTAGCCAAAGATCAGGGATGTTTCCCCCACTTGTGCTCACACAAACTTGAGAAGAGATGAATAACTACTTCCTGTTCTCACTAATACCTATCTCTAATTTAAATCTGTCCCTAATTAAAAACGCAGTAGGATGAGAAAGTATAGGATATGATTTGGCTGTGTCCCCACCCAAAATCTCATCTTAAATTGCAATCCCCACCTGTCAAGGGACAGACCAGGTGGAGGTAATTGAATCAAGGGGCGGTTTCCCCCATGCTGTTCTCATGATAGTGAGTGAGTTCTCATGAGATCTGATGGTTTTATAAGTGTTGCTAGTTCCTCCTGCAGTCATTCTCTCTCCTGCCGCCTTGTGAAGAAGGTGCCTGCCTCCCCTTCACCTTCTGCCATGATCGTTAAGTTTCCTGAGGCCTTCCCAGCCATACAGAACTGTGAGTGAATTACACCTCTTTCCTTTGTAAATTACCCAGTCTTGGGTATTTCCTTCTAGCCATGTGAGAACGAACTAACACAGTATAATTGGAAGCCCTCATCATAATAGCTACAGAGGAGGCATTAGCAGCCTCCATCAAAATTCAAAGAACTGATTCATAAAATCAGACAAAGAGACAATACAAAATATGGACTTTGTTGCCTCTCTAAAGATACCAAAATCCACAAAATAATTAATGTCTGTATTTGTACTTCTAACAAATTAGCTTTAGGAATGAATGGGTAAAAAGAAACATAATTCTTGGCTTTATTTATTTTTTCCCAATACTTTGGACTTTGGGTTTGGACATTTTCAAAGAAGATATCTTTATTCTAACCATAATAATACAGTTTAAAAACTCAGTTACTTAATGTCTACTCTGGAGGGATACAAAATAAATAAGATGTAGATCTTGACCTTGGGATGCTTATACACTAAGGAAATCAAACATACACTTATGAAGTAATTTGAGAGGAATGAAAATATACATGTGAAAAATAATATTGGCAACAATTCAGAGTGGAAAAATAACTCCAATGCAAAAAGTGAGCATATGAATCAGGGAATCTTTCCTTACAATGGGACCATGGGCACAGGCAAACACAGTATGTCTTAAGTGGTAACGCTGCTTTTATTTAAGCTGGAAAGTAGGACTGGAGTAGTTTTACATTCTTTACTTGAATTTACTACTTTCCTATATTTATCTGAAAACTATTTTCAACCGTGTGTTATCAGGAGCTGCTGAATGAAGAATGTTGGGGAATTTATTTAAATAGATTCTTATTCCACGTTCACATAGATGTTTTTTAGTAGCCACTTTGACTCTCATTTGAACACATTCTCTCTAGTGAGAAGTAATAGAGTAATGAGCAAAAGCAGATACCCACCAGGATGTATGATAAAGGTGAAAGAACAGGCTTTGTGAAAGGAGGAATTAGATGCCAAGATCGGCAAGAAGAGACACATAGTACCATAGTACCCATCCTGTCATCATCGCAGGAAGAGCTGTATTTGAGCAGACACACTGCACGTCTGTGCTCTGGGGAAGGGGCATTGCCTTCCTGTCTTCTTAGATTGAGAGTCAAAAACAGCCTTGGTTGTGAGGAATGATTAGATGAAATGTTAGCACCTGCCATCTGCCTATATGTTTCAGCTGTAGGCAAAGCTGTCAGAGAACATTCACATTTGTACCCGGAGACCTTGTAAGATGCTGGATTCAGCTGCTGCATGGGCAGGGAAGGGGCACAGTCCTCGGGAAGCTGAGTTTGGGCACAAGACCTGCCACTGGAGAACAGGGGGCTCTTGACCCTGGTGAACCCACTGCCTGGCCATTGATCTTCCAGGCATTCACCGGACAATTTTCCTTACTTTGCCACAGTAGAAATAGGGCATATTTAGGATTGGGGAGATGTTGGTTGAAGGATACAAAATTTCAGTTACCCAGGAGGAATGAGTTCAAGAGATCTATTGTATAACATGATGACTATAGTTAATGTATTCTTGGAAAAAAGGAAATAGGTCACATTTATTTGAAAGAAATAATTAGGAGATACTTCACAGCTTCATAACCTCCAAGAGCCGGTATGCTGGTGGGCATGTCATATGCGTTCTAACAAGAGCTTCCAGAAAATTGCAAGGACTCAGCTCCAGGGTCACTCTGGAGCACTTTGCTTCCTCTGCCACATCTAATGAGGTGAGAATGTGATAGAGCCCTGTCTGTCTCCCATGCAGCCTGAAGTAATCCCATACCAGGAAGGGTATTCTCTGTTGGTCTTTGTTTTGGACAATTTGGCAACTGAATTCAACTCCATTTGCTGGGGGAAACCTGCTGCTACTGGTTTTGGCATCCTATATTAAAGTGATTATGATGACAGCAATAGGTATGCACTCGCTGCATGTCAGGCACTGTGATGAACACATTACCTACATTATCCTATTTAATTCTCCTGACAAATTAGTTATTTTTATGTCACCTTTTATCACAAAGAAAATTGAGTGGAAAAGTGGGGATTCCAACCCATCCTTGTAACGACTTTACTGTTCAGTCTTGACAATTTAGTAAAGAAGGCACTGATGCTCGAAGTTAGCCACAAGAAGTTAAGCCATAAGGCTGGGTGACCCTTACCTCCCTACCCGAAACCAAAGCTTTACGAGGGAAGAAATTTTGTGTCTTACTCCTCAATCTGTCCTCAGTGATGAGAACAGGGATTGGTACAAAGTAGATGTTTAATAAAATTGTACAATGGATGAACCCTCAAAAACCTCCTCTTCCAGGCCACAGAGGTGTGTCCCCAGCCCACTGTGCAAAGCTTGGAGGGAGGCAAAAATAGCTAAAGAGGCTAAGTCTGTCTTTGGGTCTTGCCACCTCTACTTCTTGGGAACTTTGCTCTCCGACACCTGCTGATTTAGAATCCTTACCTTGCCTCTTGTAAATTTCTTCTTGGCTAGGGTGTAAGATAAATATAAGAGAACTTAGAATTAGGAATGTCTCCATTAAAAACAACACCTCTGCAATTCCTCATCTACATGACTCCAAGCCAGTAACTTAAGCTTTCTTAGATCATTTGGAGACAACAATGTCTAACTCAAAGGAATATATATATACTTCAAAGTCATACATACATATTATATATCATCACTGACTAATTATCATTACTATTATTATTTTAGACAGGGTCCCACTCTGTCACCCAGGCTCTGGAGTGCAGTGGTGCGATCACAGCTCACTGCAGCCTCAACCTTCCTGCCTCAATCAACCCTCCCCTTAGTCCACCTGAGTAGTTGGGACTACAGGCGTGTGCCAACGTGACTGGCTGTATATTTGTTTTTATTTTTTGTAGAGACAAGGTCTCACTATGTTGCCCAGACTGGTCTAGAACTCCTAGGCTCAAACAATCTTCTGGCCTCAGCCTCCCAAAGTGCTGTGATTACAGGCATGAGCCACCATGCCCAGCCTATCACTGAAAAATTATTGTAAAGCATCTGAAAAATTAGTCTAAATGGAAAAGTTCATCAGTGACAAATATTTCAGGTATAGAATGTAGGCTTTCCTCGATATTTCTCAGATCAACCCCAAGAGCGGCAACCATCCGCTCTTGACTATATTTTATGGTCACTTATAATGGTATTCCATCTGTCATCTACTAATAAACATAACATCCCCTGTGGACCTTCCATTGAGACCAGTCATCAGATGGCTCAATCACCTCCATAGGTGCTTCTACGTAAGTACCAGAGAGTCAAGCCAGACCACAGCGCTCTGGGAAGTTAGCCCAGTTCTTTTGTATCAGAAATGAATGACTCCTGCCTTGTTCCCACCTCCACATCCTCCTACACACACACTTTGAAAAAGGTGATGTCAAATAAACAGATTTTTTTTTTCCTTATTCAAACCCTGCAAGTAACCTCAACTTACTGAAAGTCCCTGGGAACTTAGGAGAAAGAGAAAATGTGTCATCTTATTTTTTTACTTATCTTCTAATCAAACAGAAAAGCCTCAGCTTTGCTTGGGGGCACTGGAACACATTTCCCTTCTCTGGGCGATGAATATTTAACACATGGGTCAGCTGTAAACAGCTGTGGCTCCCTGATGAATCACCCACTTCAGACACCCAAGCAATGTCGTCATCCAGGCCCTGCCCACAGGCACCTGCGTTTCTCCGCCTCACCTTAAAACACCAAGCAGCTTGTTCCTAGCCTCCTTAATATCAGGACTCCTTTGCCCACGCGGCTCACAGGGTGGTAGTTGACATTTGATTGCCTTTGCCTCTATTGAGCTGATTCATCCCCAGCCTCACACTGCCTATCACTTGTCTGTAGTCTCGTACTTGACACCCATGTGCTTGTTGTTAACTGTGGGAGCACCACCCTTTCCCAGTTTTCTCACTGGCCTGCAAGTTTCTCCCCCTCTCTCTATCAAGCATGGACCCCAGTCTGTTTTATAAATGAGTAAATGGAACCATCTTTCCTGCTTACGTCAGAATTTGCTTCCAGTGCTTGTAACTCAAAGCATCTCAGTCAGACCTACTTCAGGTCAACAGCCCCAAATAACACTGCGCCCGGGCAGGGCGCGGTGGCTCACGCCTGTAATCCCAGCACTTTGGGAGGCCGAGGAGGGCAGATCACGAGGTCAGGAGATGGAGACCATCCTGGCAAACACGGTGAAACCCCGTCTCTACTAAAAATACAAAAAATTAGTGTGGTGTGGTGGCCGGCACCTGTAGCCCCGGCTACTCGGGAGGCTGAGGCAGAAGAATGGCGTGAACCCGGGAGGCAGAGCTTGCAGTGAGCCGAGATCGCGCCACTGCACTCCAGCCTGGGCGACAGAGCAAGACTCTGTCTCAAAAAAGAAAAAATAATGACAATAATAACACTGTGCCCGGCAAGGTCAGCTAATGCCACATGGTAATTGCTGCATGTGTGAGTAGCAAAATCACATGGAAGAGGAGCTGGCCTTGGGGACAATGCCACGTTACAGTGAGGAGCTCCAGAAAAACCCACGTGCAAAGTTCTCAGGTTCACGCTTGGGTGCCCATCCTCTGCCTGACCCCTCAAAAGAATAAAGATCTTACAAATATCCAATGAATACCAGGATGGAAATAACTTGTTTCCTGGCATTCAAGACAGAGGAAATCCTTACTATTAAAACTAGAAATGATTAGCAAAGACATGAAACACAACAGTTTAAAAAACCACAGGGGCCCACAAACACGTGTGGATATTCAATTTTTAAGGACTCGAAACTAATGCAAGCAGGTAGTTAATCTTACCCTCAGTCTCTTACCTCAGAGCAGTTATCTCATTTTAAAGACCCTCATGAAGGAAGTTTCACAGTCATTTATGCAGTAGCTCTGCAGGTAACCTTCATATCAAGCATCAATATGGACATACTGCACTTATTCAAGTACTCAACCTATTTCCTTCTCCTAAAGAGCTAATTCTGTAACACCTAAGAACAGTCACAGTTCTTCCTTTAAATCTAACCTTAATATTCTGTGCTGTGGCTTCATCTTCCTCACCTCCTCTTATTTTCCTCAATGGAGATGGGGCCTGTTTTATCACCATGAATGCCGTTTTTATACCAAAAATCATGTTAGTCTCTCTTCAGTGCTTTCTTCTTTTAGTCTAGTTGTTCAAATCCTTGGCTTTTTCCTTGTGAGCCTTTTTTCCTCTGACTGCATCCCCACCTTCATTTCCTGGGCCCTGTATACTTCTTACGACATGGTTACGTGATGGCCAGAGGGCAATTGAACATTCTGGTGAGTTTTGGCTAATTTGGAAATCACGAGAATCTCTCTTGGGCTGCTAAATTCTTCGTTCCTGTTAGTTCTCCCCTGGACACTCCTTGGTTTTTCTGAAAGTTGCACAACATTGCTGATTCACGTTCAGCCGGTCAGTGTGCAGATGCCAAACAGCATATGATGCTTCGATTGGCTCCACATAAGAAACATGAGCTTCCTGCCAAAACAGGGATAGAGGTGAGGCTTTACCTCCAGGCTCTGTTGCAATGGCCGATCACCCTCTTATTCTGTACTCACAAACTCTTGCAAGAAAAGGCTCAAAACTTGTTCACAGAATCACAACACTGAGGTGTTGCCTGGCTTTGAATGAGACTCATTTTGACTAAATCAATGTGTCCCCACAAGTGTTTGGAGGGCAAAAGGAGACAGGAGTTTGTTCTAACATCATGCCAGCTTAACCTCCACATTGTGTCACTTCCACCTAGGTGGCCAATGGGTTCCATTCCCTTTAAATGAACCTGGTTCATGCCCCTCATACTGCACTGAACCTTGCACAAGGCCAGTCTGAGTGCCAATATTCCATCTGCTCAGCCTCTGCTCTCCTCAGCTTTCCTGGTCTCAGGACCTCATAGGAGGTTGATTGTTTCCAAAAAATGGTCCCAATTCTCTGTCTTTCCCTGTATTCACATTGTTGTAATGTAGCTCTGTAGCTCCTCCCATCAAGGGGTGGAGTTTACTCCCCTACCCCTTGAATCTGGGCCGGCCTTTGTGACTTACTCTGCAGCAGAAATGACAGCATACCAGGTGCAAGCCCAAGCCTCAAGAGGTCTTGCACGCCTCTGCTCCCTCTTGCAACCCCAAATCTGTTGTGAGAACAAGCTTCTGGAGGACGGGAGATAACAGTGATCAGAGCTGAGTTATCCCAGCTGAAGCCATCCCAGAACAGCTAGCTCCAAACAACCAGCCTGCTAATCACACATGCAACAAGTCCAGCCAAGATCAGCCAAGATCAGCCAAGACCAGTTCTCATGAGTGGAAATCATGGATCAGCTGACCCATGGATTCATGAGAAGAAATGGCTGATGTTCTAACTCACTGAGTTTTAGGGTGATTTGCTATGCAGCCATAGCTAACTGATACATACTCCATACCCTGGTTTCTGTTCTCTATTTTGTCACTCAGATGGATGAGTCAATGAGAGGTCTTTTCTCATATTTGATCCCTGGCATTGCTGAAGTACATAATGTCTCTTTTCTGACGACTAGTTTCCTTCTCTATAATTTTGGAGAAAATGTACACTATTGTGGATGCACCTGTCTCCATGCCTTGCCTCCCGGGGGAAAGGACTCAGTCATCAAGACTGGATGATTCCTTACAGGCCCCTTCAATCACCCCTGCAAAGCCACTCTTCTTTCTGCATTTTCTTCTCCTGGGGGCATCACCTCTAGTTGCCTAGTCAGTCGCTCAAGCTAAAACCTAGAAGTAACCTAAGGCTTCTTCTTCCTCATTCCTTGGGGGCCAAGCCTTCAGATCTAATTTCTCATAACCACTCATTGTCATGCATTCCCTCCTCTCTATTCCCACTCCCAGGGGGCTCTGGCCACCAGCAAGCAGTACCCATATGGCAGGCTCTCATTAAATATTTACTGAATGATGGGTCTATCCACTCACATCTCTCTCTGTAACCAATAGAGTCATCAAAGAAGAGCTTGTGAAATATCATTTACACCTCCCCTTGTGTTCTCCCAAATCAACAATAACTTTGGTGAAATCATCTTTTGTTGGCATCTTTTGAAATTGTGGGTCACAGGATGAAAAGTCTAAAATGCATGCAGGATTCCTAATTTCTACTACAAATAATAATGCATTTGGGTTAGGTTTGATTATTATATAGAACTTAAATGTAAGTCAAAGGCACAAAAAGACTTTAAGAGTACTGACCTTTCTGTCGGGAATCCTGCCTAACGCCACAGTTTCATGAAAATCTTTCATTGTATTGAATTTAAGTGGCTCAAAATCATGTCACCAATGGCATTTGGCTTCACAAAGATTACCTGCCCTGGCCACAATCTGATACATACCTGATGATGACTGCAGAGAGTGAACTTTTGAGAGAAGGGATGCATTGTGTCAGGTGGGTGGGAGTAGGCCTGACATTTTAGACCCTCTCAGATGGATCTGTAACCAGCAAAATGCCAGAAGGAGGCCATTCTGGTGTTGGAGGTTCAGAGCCTGTTGGTGGAAGCACCACCCACTCGTCCTTCTCCACATAGCTCCCTGACTGCTATGATTAGGCCTTCGCCTTGGAAGTAGACCACAGGAGCCACAGGCCTTGTTGGGAAACAAGTGTTGATTATCCCAAACTGTCTCTGTAGGATGTGCTTAAATCCTGACATGCATGATTTTGTCACACTAAACATCTGAATAATCTTGGCACTCAGTAAGCAATGACTGGAGGGCAATGCCTAAGGAAGTGGTGAGCAACCTGCAGACCTAAGGCAATGCGGGAGTCACAAGAGGAAGCCCCAGGTCCCAGACCCTCTAGCAGCTGCTACCCTTTGTTACCCTATGCTCAGGGGTGAGCCCCTTCCCTTCCAATCTCAACTTGTTTGTAGCACTGCACAGATGACGTGATACTCTCACATCATTTTGTCAACAATCTCCATAACATCGAGACATGGAAAAATTATTTTTATTGTTCCCATTTTATTATGAAAATATGAAAATAAGGTAGTAGATTAACCAGTGTTGTCCAGGCGCAGTGGCTCATGCCTGTAATCCCAGCACTTTGGGAGGCCGAGGTGGGTAGATCACAAGGTCAGGAGTTCAAGACCAGCCTGGCCAACATAGTGAAACCCCATCTCTACTAAAAATACAAAATTAGCCAGACATGGTGGTGCGTGCCTGTAGTCCCAGTTCCTCAGGAGCCTGAGGCAGGAGAATCGCTTGGACCCAGGAGCTGGAGGTTGCAGAGAGCTGAGGTCGCACCACTGCACTCCAGCTTGAGCATCACAGTGAGACTTCATCTTAAAAAATAAAAATAATAAAATAAAAAGGATTAACCAATGTTACATAAATAATAGTAATACTGCTTACCATGTATTGGCCACTTTCTGTCTCATACTCACTTCCTTTTAGCCTAATTAAAAACCTTGCTGAGTAGCCTGCATCAGCATCCTTTAACAGAGCAGGAAACTAACCAGGGGAGGTCAAGGTCTAGTGGCTTGCCCAAAGTCACATAGCTAGGGAGGGTCAGAGATTGGATTTGCACCCAAGTCCTGCTGATTCAAGGCCCACGTTTGATTGGTTTTAGCTTACTTCCTCCAGGTTTTCTCTGCCCCACTTCCTTGTTTGCTTTTGGGAACCCGAGAATTCAGGGAAGGATGCACAGTTAGAGCTTCATTTTCTTGGTCTCATATACAACCATTCTCTCCTCTTCCTCCTCCAAGAAGAGCTTATGGCCACATCAAACTTGACTGCATTTGCCCATTGCATTAGGTAAATCCTAACTTTCTGAAGGCAGTTTGACTTCCCAATCGTCTCCATAGGAAGAGATTGGCCTCATCAAAATGCCAGATGAGACTGTCCTTTGAGCTGTTATAATCCTGGCATTTGTTTTCATTATTACATTAGCAACTGAGAATAGCTTTTACCTGGGTATCCCATTGAACTGACCTACATGCTGGCAGACAGAAGAATCTTACTGTATCCTCCTCACACCAACAGTCACTTGTTTGGAAAATGAAAATCCCTGACCTTTTCCTAGAAGATTCCAGTGCTTGGCTTCTTTTTCACTGATGGCAAAAGCTCAAAACAAAACCAATAAATATTTGTTGAGTGTCTGCTAAGTGTTAGTCATTGTGTAAGCATTTTAATATTTATTTCCTTTTATTAGATTGGTGCAAAAGTAATTGTGGTTTTTGCCATTAATTTCAATGGCAAAAACCGCAATTACTTTTCAATTACTTCTGCACCAACCTGATATTTTCATAATAACCTGATAAGGTAGTTATTGTTCTTCTTTTACACATCAGGTCAAGGAAAGAAAGGAATTTGCTTGTGGTCATACAGCTAATAAGTGTAAACTTGAGATTCAAGCCCAGTTTTTCTGATTGTAAGTCCAACATTCAATTTTTGCTCTGATATGAAGCCATGTAACTTAGCAATATGTATTATTTAGGACTCTTTGAAAATTCACACTCTTTAACCCCAACTTCTTTTTTTTTTTTTTTTTGAGATGGAGTCTCACTCTGTCACCCAGGCTGGAGCACAGTGGCGTGATCTCGGCTCACTGCAACCTCTGCCTCCTGGGTTCATGCCCTTCTCCTGCCTCAGCCTCCTGAGTAGCTGGGACTACAGGCACCCGCCACCACACCCAGCTAATATTTTTATATATTTAGTAGAGACGGGGTTTCACCATGTTAGCCAGGATGATCTCGATCTCCTGACCTCGTGATCCACCCACCTTGGCCTCCCAAAGTGCTGGGATTACAGGCGTGAGCCACCGCGCCCGGCTTTTGACCCCAACTTCTACTTGTATTTATTATAAAGAAATAATCAGAGACAATCATAAATATGTATGCATAAATAACACAACAGCGTTATTTATAATTGCAAAATTACAAAACCACTTAAATGACAATAGCAAAAATGTTTAAATAACTTCATCATCTGTATAATATTATACAAACATATTTTTGAAGATACAGCATGGCACTTGATGTGAGAAAATAACTAAACTGCAATAAATGGAAAAACACAGAATATAAAACTGTATATATAACCTCAATTTTATCCAAAATAAAAATTAAAAATGTTTACATATACATAAAATAATTGTAAGTGAATGAAACATGCTAACTTGAAGTCATCTCTTCATGGTTTTTCTTAAATTTTTCTATATTTTCCAAATTCTCATCTATGAGCTTCTGACTATTACAAAATAGAAACAACAAGTATACTATTTTAAAGAAAAATAATTCCTATCATTATTACAAATAAGCAGAGGTCAAAGTGGCTCAAGTCCAAAGGGCTGCTTAGAGCAAACACCTGGTCCTTTGCTACTTTACTCTCCAGCGCAAGGAGCGAGAGAGGCAGTGGCAGAGCATACAGATCTAGCTAATTCACTGTGTGACCTTGGACAAGTCACATTACCTCTGTGGGCCTCAGAGGGCTTTTCTGCAAAATGAACAGCCTGGATCAGTGAGCCGTGCCCTAGCAGAGCACAGCCTCCTGCCGTGGCTTCTGGGTAGAATTGCCTTTCATTGTGCAATTAAATCTGGCCTTCCCTCATGACGGGAGAGAAAAATATTTATGAATTACTCTCTAGTTTAGAAATGGATCTCTGTCTGGGAACAAAGGAACACAAGCCCCACTGGCAAATTAGAGTCCATTATCAGCTACTATAGCAGCAAGCTCAGCCTGGTGGTAATTGTATCTGCAATAATAAGGCTGTGAGGGCGACTCTAGGCCATTTGCTACCTGCATCAATCATCATTACAGTCTAGCACAGAGGGGATGCGGAAATGAGCCCATGTTATCAATGGCCAATTAGAACAAAGATCCATCCAGAAGCTCTTGGGAACCTGGCCAGGGCCAGCAGAGGGGGTGGATGAGGCGCACAGAACAACAGGTGGCCTGGGTCAGTCAGCTCGCTGATGTCACCGAGGAAGATCACCCTGAGACGCTGGCCTGCAACTCTGTTTAGAATCCCTAGTGACCTCAAATGATGTCAATTCTGCTTGGCTATGTGAACCCAAAATATCTGAAACAGGTCTCAGTCAACTTAGAAAGTTTATTTTGACAAGATTAAGGACACGCCCGTGGCATAGCCTCAGGACGTCCTGAGGACACGTAGGCAAAGTGGTCGGCACAAAGCTTGATTTGATACATTTTAGGGAGACATGAGACATCAATCAATATATGTAAGATGTACATTAGTTTGGTCTGGAAAGTCAGGACAACTCAAAGTGGGGAGGGGGCTTCAGGTCACAGGTAGAAAAGAAACAAACAGTGGCATTCTTTAATTGTGTGCATTTGTCTCATGTGAGCAAGGGAATGACTTTGAGTTCTGTCTTTTGTCCTTTAGTCCACAAGGAATTTCCTTGTGGGCAAATTGTGAGAGAGGTGTGTAGCTTTTTTTATTTTTGTAGCAACCTTACGTAGGAATAGAATGGGAGGCAGGTTTGCCAGTTCCCAGCTTGACTTTTCCCTTTGGCTTAGTGATTTGGGGTCCCCAATTATTTTCCTTTCACAGCGATGATATGCCAATTTCATGTAAATAACTGTGTATATTCCCTATTGATGGCACCTTTGGATCTACCCTGTGTATCACTGTTCTAGGACTGCCATAACAAATTATGCAAATGTGATGCCTTTAAACAACAGAAATTTATTCTCTTACAGGCCTGGAGACTAGAGGTCAGAAATCAAGGTGCAGTGGGCCCATACATACTTCCACTGAAGGCTCTAAGAATCCTTCCTTGCCTCCTCCAGCTGCTGGTGGCCACAGGCGTTCCTCAGGCTGTGGAAACATAACTGCAGTCTCTGCCTCCATCTTCATAGGGCCTTCTCCTCTGTCTCTGTGTGTTCCCTCCTCTTCCTGTAGGGATACCAGCCATTGGATTCGGGTCCACCCTGACCCAGTATGACTGCCTCTTCATTTGATGACATATGCAAAGTCTCTATTTCCACTAAGGTCACATTCTGAGGTTTCAGAGTAGACATGAAATTTGGGGGACACTACTCAAGTCACCACACCCTGATGTAGGACACTGTTAGATTTTCATCGGTTATCTTTTGCCTAAGTCTTATCCATGATAGTAGATGGGGTAATAATAGCTAATATTAAAATAGCACATACCACATGCCAGGCAAATTCTAATCTCTTCGCATATATTAATTCATTTTATTCTCACTATGAGGAAGTACTATTTTTGTCTTCATTCTTCAAAGGGAGAACAGAGACATAGAGAGATTAAGTAAAGTGTCCGAGATCACAGAGTAAGTGGCAGACCAAGCACTTCAGTTGAGCAATCCGGTTCTGAGCCTAGGTTCTTAACTATGCATCCTACCTCCTTAACGATGGACACAGCTAAACTAGACATCCTGACACAGGAGAAGAAATGCAGATGGCAAAACCCTTTTGGAAAGTAATTTGACAATCCATGTCAATAGTCTTGAAAACATCCATTCATGTTTTATCCAGTAATTATACTCTGGGGAGTTTTCCTTCGAAAAAAAAAAATCTGAATTGTATAAAGCTTCCATCCACAAAAACACTATAGCAGTATTGTTTATAAGAAAAAAGCTTACAAAACTAAGGGAAAAGATACTCTCAAACAAAAGATTACTTAAGTGAATAAGGTTATACCTATAGAATGAAGAATGTATCTCCATTAAAATAATATAGATAGTTTAGAGTAACAAAAGGAAATGCTTATGTTATAACATTAGGTGAAAACTGGAAAATAAGGTGGTCTATGTAAAATATTCTTGACTAGATTTTTAAACAACAGAAAAGAGAGAAATTACATTAACATGCTCACAGCAACTCTTTTAGAATAATTTTTTTCTTTCTCCTTTTTTAAAACCTTTTTGGATTTTTCAATTTCCATAATAAACATATTACTTTTGTAATTAGAAAAGAAATTATGAATATGGAAAATGTAAAGCAGAAGCAGTATTCTTACAGAAGGACTGAGGGGATAAGGGGAGGGGTAGTCAATTCTAGCCCTGGCCTTTACGTCAGAGATCTAAAATCCAAGACAGGCCATGGGAGATGCTCTCTTCTGGAAGCTCTAGCATTTGTTATTAAATTCTGAGACCATTGATTTGTCTTGTTTTTCAATCTGCTAAATTCTGGTTTTGACATTGATATATGCTATGCAAATATCTGTTGAATAAATAGGCAGCTGAGCTAAATAAGTGCACAGCATAAACAAATTAATGGAGAAGTGGAGGCATAGAGAGATTAAATAAATGGTTTCAATAGAAAATGTCTTTCTAATGGAAAAGTTTGAAGCCCCTTCCTTCTTGGTTTCTGAGACAATCCCACTAGGAATCTTGAGACTTGGTATCATTGACTTCACTTTGCAAGGCTGTAGATTAAGCTTTACCTCTTCAGCTATAAATGACGGAATCCCAAAAGAAGAAAAATAAATCTAAGCTGTGGGTCAAACAAATAGAAATTAAACTGACCTAAATCAATACCCAAA
The DNA here is from genome assembly GCF_000001405.40 of Homo sapiens. Classification (NCBI taxonomy): domain Eukaryota; kingdom Metazoa; phylum Chordata; class Mammalia; order Primates; family Hominidae; genus Homo; species Homo sapiens. The sequence goes on from NC_000006.12 coordinate 6,477,374, forward strand.
AAAGTAACTTTTCCTCTGAGCAAAGGCTGAAATGAGAACCTAGTTGCTTTAAAGGACAAACTGCCCTCCAGTTCAGGGAATCAGAAAAGTTTTTGTCTACATTCAAACCTTTGTAATACAACCCCCGACTTCCCATTTCCTTACATAGAAAGACTTCTATCTGTTTATAACCACATGGCGTCTGTTAGCAATCAGGATGGTTTTGTGGCTCTGAGTTAGGACACAGGGGTCACAATTTGGACGAGTCAGATTGCCTTAGCACGGCCACTCTGAAACTTATTACCATGTGCAAAACAAATATTTCCCCCTGAGGACTAAGCTCTGATTTCTTTTATCTTGCCCAAATTCCTATCTAAGGAGTCTGGGGTGTCATGCTCTACAAACCATAAATTCTCATCAGATAGGTTTTATTTAACCCTATATATCATGACTTATTTTCCAACCTGACTCTGGTATAACATTATGAGACAAGGAAGGAAACCAAAATATTTTCCCCAAAACATATTTCTTTGCCATATCTTGAAATGGCCCCGCAAGCCATCCTCTGTGGGGGAAAATTTGCATATGTAAAGAATCTCTATTAATATAGCTAGATCTTTTTCTTCCAGGCCCTCCCAATCCTAAAGAGATTAGACCTAAGAGTCTAGCACCTTTTAAAGATCTGAATAGGCAACATTTGCCATCTATTGTCTCTAAGGGCAGCCACTATAAGGCTTCAAAGGCACCTTGGTCTCCAAGTCTTTTATCTTAACCTGAAAATTTCATTTCTATCAATCCCAGGTCTTTAGACAAACTCGACCATTTGTCAACCAGCAAATGTTTAAATTTACCTATAGCCTGGAAGCCCCCACCATATCAAACTGTCCCGCCTTTCTGGAAAAAAAACAATGTATTCCTTAATGTATTTGATTGATGTCTCATGCCTCCCTAAAATCTATAAAACCAAGCTGCACTCTGACTACCTTGGGCACATGTTCTCAGGACCTCCTGAGGGCTGTGTCACAGACCATAGTCATTCGTATTTGGCTCAGAATAAATCTCTTCAAATATTGTACAGAATTTAACTCTTTTCATCGACACATCTTCTGACTTCCAGGGCTGGCTAGCTGAAAAAGGAATGTCCTTAGTCACATGCATACTCACACTCTCCTAATGACCCAGAGAACAGGGGCCCACTCGGTCCCCATTGCCACACAGGGGAAGATGCTTCTCTGCCCTTGAACTGATGGTGCAAAGTTAGCCACCAAAGAGCAGGAGCTAACTAGACTGTCCCTAGGACTTCAGGCTGTGGCCGTTCTCCAGAACGGACTCTCTGTGCTTCTGCTCAAGGGCATCAGTGTTTCAGGGCTCAGTGGAGAATATACATAAGCCAGCCTTCATGGACAAGCAGCGTGGCATCCCACTGTCAAGAAAGGGCTAATTTCATGAGGCAAAAGTTTGCTGAGACCCACACTTCATGGCATGGCCATCTGTCCAGCTCACAATAATTCATTCAGCAAAATTATGTGTGAAGCACTGAAGCAGGAGCTCAAGACACTGAGAATACATTCTACTGAGAGAGGCAGACATAAACCAACAATTACAATATGCACATTAGTTGATGGGGTTGGGGAGCTGTACTGAATCCGAGTGTTTGAAATGCTTGTTCCCCGGTGCTGTAAAGAAATAGCACTTGAACATAGATTGAATTTCCTCAGCAAGGCCATTTTTATACTTTCTGCAGAAAGGGTACACTCACCAGCAGTTTTGCCAGGAGAGTACAACGAACAAAGGAGACAGGGTCATTTATAAACTGAAGCGTCCACCCTACTGCTGTGTCCGGTTTCCACTGGCTGGAACGGGACCTCACATTCTGTATTTGTCCCGAATGGCTAGCAACTTAGAACTTTTTTAAAGAGGCAAAGGCAGAGGAGAACAAAGGAAGGAGGAAGTAACTTGTGGAATGCTGAGAAAGGTAAAAACACCTTCAAATAAGGAAGAGAAAAGGGCTATGACCTAATGCTTGCTTGGGCCAGTATAAGCATACCAGGGCAGATATTTAGGCTAAATTGTGGGAGCTAAGAACATAAAGTACATTGATTGCTTTATTATGGCTAGCAGATATTTAAGAATGTTAGCACAGGTCTTTGAATAAATTTTGCTTCTAAGAGAAGTTACTATTTCTTCCTAATTAGATGGGGAGGAAAGTCTTTGAAGAGGAACCTCTACTTTACTTTTTACACAAGTTGGAAGCAAAAAGATCCCAGAGGAGAAAATGACTAAACTGTGCTCTAAAATTCAGAGCATTCCTAGAGCACAGAGACCTGGGAACCTTTATTTCTCCTGAGAGGAGAAATAAAGTACACTGCCTGCATGTGCACAGAGTCTGAATCTACCCATTTTTCCAGGACGGCTAAAGTTATAGCCACTCCATGTAGAAGTACTCCCTGAGTCCCTTTGGGCTTCTAGAACTACAGGACAGATGGCTGCAGATAGCAAAGCCTAGCTGCAGACTAGCTTGGTGACGCAGAATTAGATCGTGGCTATCTATCATGTCCACAAAGAGGTAGGGCAAATTTCTACAATGCCAGGCCCCTTGGCAGCATTTTCAGGAACTGCAGCTCATGACTAGTGAAACGATATAATCAAGACTTGCAAGATGTGAAAGGCACAGTTCAGCTTGGTGACTCGGGGTAAATGTTTTATTGCTCACCCGGAGAACAGTGCCACCAGTCTTCTGTCCCAGGGTGTGCTTTCCACTTACTGGATAACAGGAGTTTGGATTCTTAATTGGCTAAAGAGGATCGTTTTGCTTGGCTGATTATTTGTGCTTTGAATGGAAGTGAGAAGATCTTCAGATTTTAGAGCGTGTGTTAGAGTGTGTGTTCAATTCTAAGAAAAGCACTTCATTTGTCTGGTTAAATTAGCTGCGCCAGTTACATATGTCTTAAAATTGAACTAAAACAGACCAACATTGGCAAGATCTTGGAGTTCATTGAAGAGAAACTAAACTAAATATTTTCAAATTGTAATGGTGGGTAAAACTAAAGATCTGAATTGGGCTACAGGGGTTTATAAACTTAGGATTCTATGGGAAGGGGTAAAGAAATTAATTCTTCAGCCAAAGTTCTTTCAAGTATGCTGTCTTCTCAAGCCAATGATGACAGTGTGTCTTGCAGTATTATAAAGAAAGTATATTCTGGAAGGAAATGTTCCATATGAAACTACAGGGACCAATTGCCTTTGACCACTGATGGCCTAGAAAGTTACCAGGATACTCTGAAAGCTCTGAAGAGAACCAAGAGGCTATCTCAGCATTTTCTTTTCTTTGATTTATTTATTTTTCCCACTCAAACCAGCTTGGGAGTAGCTCATGGCTAATTTTAGAACCCACTCCAAATTTATAAACTCTGAGCCCCAAACCAAAATGAAATTCCATTTTCAATTAGTTAAAATATTTTCTGAAATTTTTTGAAGTCTTACTCGAGCAATGATTCTCTTACGAAATATAATACGTGCAGAGTAACATCTTTATGATTTCAGTTCAAATGAAGCAGAAACCCAAAGATTATATTTTTCTTAAAAAATGAACAGTAGGTAATAAATTCACTGGGAAAGTCAAGTCTATGTGTTATTAAACAGAGAATATTCACAAGGTGATTCTCAGACTCTAAAAGGCTGCATGATTTCCTCCACCCCAACATGAATTCTGCAAAGGAGACAGATGGAAAAGTCTCCTGGGTTTTAGAAACATCTATTTTAAGGGGATTTTGAAAAGTCTCAATGTCCAAATCTGCTGACAAGATACACATCAGCTCATAAGGGAGATTCAGAGCCAGCAGTAGCCAACAAAGTAACCAAAAGCCTTCAGCTCCTGCTGTTTGGTGGCATGTGACGTTTGATTGGGATATTTCCCAGACTTAATCATGACTATTAACTTCTGTGATGAAGAAGTGTGCTGTGGGTGGAATCCCATCTTCCCACAGTGGAAAACAAAATAAAGAATTTTTATCTTTATTTCAAAGGAAGAAAACATCAATTATCCAGGGAAATGAACTGGAAGGTGCAGTTTCACAGCTTCCAGGAGTCCAAGCAATCCACAAAAGACAAGTCCATTTTTTTTTTCCTTCAGCAAAGCAATTACTGTCCTTTCTTCCATGTCGGATGCTCTTGTCACATCTGACACACCAGTTTGATTACCGAGAGAATGAGCAAAGCAATGAGCCCTCAGCACAGGGCTCTCTGAGACTACCAGCACCAGGGCACATTGGGCAACACTCCACTTGGTATTAGAAAATTAGTCTTTCAGAAGACAATGCTTTATCACAATTCCACTCGTACAAATGAAAGAGAAGAGAAGAAAAGGGCTTGGGAGTTTATTTCCTCATGAATGTGCTAAAGAAAGACATTCAATGAGAAGAGTTATGTCTGGGCTCTTTGTTTACAGGTGCCCTCTAGGACAAGTGGCCAAGAAGAAGGGCTTCAGTCATATGGAAGTATGGGATACCAGTAACTGATTTTGTTTGGTGCTTTTGTAACTCATCTTTTCTGCCTGGGCTGAATTGCACCCCACAGCAATGTTGGAGACAGCATAGTGACAGAAAACAAGGAAGCCATCGGACATGGTGACAGGGATGAGTAGGAGGCTCTCAGAGTGATATCACTTTAGGAAAGTATTCAAAGGCTACCACAATCATCTTTCTAGACTGAAATATTTTCCTTAGGATGACCCAAGTGAACTCAGATGTCTTGCAGTCTGGTCTTGGGAAAATACATTCCAAGTTGCTTGGCAAGGGAGACTCAAACCTCAAAGAATAGGACTGGCTACCTATTAGGAAGCCTCCAGAAGAGTATTGGTCACTGAAAGCCTGAACCATGCCTAGCTGGTTGTAATCATGAGATGGGAAAATGTCTTCCAACTTCTACAACAGCACTGGGAGCGTTTGAGGGGGTCTCTGCCAAGAGAAGCAGCGGTGGTCACAGCAAAGTTAAAAAACCAGCAAGGGAAGAGTAGATGCTGGTGGGGACCCAGTGGGAAGCCAGTGGGGAAGAGAGAGATTACATTTGGGGTGGGTGGGGCTGCAGACAGCTCAGTCCAGTGCTGAAAAGGGTGGGCGTGGCTCCATGTGGTTAAAGTTGTCACCCAGGTCTTGAGTACAGGCTAAGGAAACAGAAATCCAAAATAAAGGATTGAACGTTGTTCAACGTTATAAGCAATTTGCATTTATGGGATCCAAAACAAAGATTTATCCATTTTTCCTCTTAATAGAGGGAAATACTCATGTAAAGAAGGCTAAGGAAGCCCCCAACACCAAGATGGGGTTTTTAAAAGTCAGGGAGGCTGGGACTGTGTGACGGAAGTGTTAGGACTGCATGCCAATAAGTTAGACTGTGTTCATTCCCTAATCGCAAACTATTTGACAAAGCTATAGTAATCAAAACTGCATGATATTGGTGTAAAAACAGACATACCAGTGGAATAGAATAGAGAGCCCATAAATAAACCCAGGCATATATGGTCAACTAATCTTTGACCAGAGCACCAAGAATACACAATGAGGAAAGGACAGTTTTTTCAGTAAATGAGGTTGAGGAAACTGGATATCTACACAAAATAGAGTAATACTGGGCCCTTGCTTTTTACAGTATACAAAAATGAACTCAAAATAGATTTAAGACTTAAATATAAGATCTAAAACTATAAAACTCCTAGAAGAAAGTGAAAAGAAAAAGTTCCCTGACATTGGTCTTGGCAATGATTTTTTAACATGACGCCAAAAGCACAGGCAACAAAAAACAAAATAAACAAGTGGGACTGCATCAAAATAACAAGCTGCCGCACCGCAAAGGAAACAATCAACAAAATGAAAAGGCAACCTACAGGGTGGGAGAAAATATTTGCAAGCCATATATCTGATAAAGGGTTAATATCCAAAATATATTTTTAAAACTCACATTGAAAGTAAAAAAAAAAAAAAGAAAAAAGAAACAACACAATTATAAAATGGGCAAAGAAGCTGAATAGACATTTTTCTAAAGAAGACATACAAATGGTAAACAGGTATATGAAAAGGTGGTTAAGATCACTAATCCTCAGAAAACTGCAAATTAAACTACAATGACATATCTCTTTACATCTGTTAAGATGGTAACTATCAAAAAGATAAGAGATGGTAAGTGTTGGCCAGGGTATAGAGAAAAGAAAATCCTGTACACTATTGGTTGGAATTAAAATTGGTACAGCCATTATGGAAAACATAATGGAGATTCCACAAAAAATTAATAAATAGAAGTGCCATATGATCCAGCCATCCCACTTCTGAACATATATCCAAAGAAAATAAATTAGTGCGTCAAAGAAATGTCTGCACTCTCATGTTTATCCCAGCATTATTTACAATAGACAAGATACAGAAACAATGTACGTGTCCATCAATGAATGTATGGATAAAAGAAAATGTGATACACACATACACACACCCATCCCTCCCCCCACCCCCACACACACTCCCCCCCAACACACACAGAGATGATTCAGCCATAAAGAGAAAGAAATCCTGCCATCTGTGACAACATGGATAAGCACGGAGAACATCATGCTGGGTGAAACTAGACACAGAAAGACAAATACTGTATGATCTCACTTATACATGGAATTATAAAAAGTCTAACTCAGAGAAACAAAGAGAGCTCCTAGTTTCCAAGGGCTGGGGATTAGAGAAATGGGAGATGTTGGTCAAAGTGTACAAACCTTCAGTTATAAGATCAATACATTCTGGGGACCTAATGTATAGCAGGTTGACTATAACTAAAAATATTGTATTATTTACTTGAAATTTGATAAAAGAGCATATTTTATGTGTCCTCACCCCACCACACACACACACACACACACACACACACACACACACATACAGTAATTATGGGTGACAGAGGATGTGTTATTTTGATTTCGATAATTATACAATGTATACATATATGAAATCACATTGTATACCTTGAACATATACAATTTTTATTTTTCAGTTAAATGTTTCAAAAAGAAGAAAGGGAGGGAGGAAGGAAAGAAAAAAAGAAAGGAAAGAAGGAAAGAAAAAGTGAGTTTCATAATACATCATTAAAAGAGTGACAAGGCAAGCCCCAAGCTGGGACAAGATATTTGCAGTACATATATCTAACAAAAGACTTGTAAACTAGAATATATTATAAAACTCCTACAAATCCATGAGAAAAAGACAATCTAGGTTAAAAAAGTAAGTAAAAGACTTGAAACTGCATTTCACAAACAAGTTATCTAAAGGGCCAGTAAGTAAATAAAAAGTTAACACCATAACTGAGACACTAACAAATACCCATCCCACATGTACATGCATCCAGGTGCATGTACACACACACACACACGCACTCACAGAGAGACAGAGAGAGAGAGAAATGAACAAGATTAGAAGGACTGAGAACACCAAATGTAAAGACAGAGAACAACTGAGACCCTTCTATGCTGCTGCTGAGAACGGAAAATGCAACGCCACTCTAGATAACTGTTGGCAATTTTATCTGAACATAAACATATGCAGCACTGTGACCTAACAATTTCACTTACAGGAATAAAGCCAATAGATTCGAGTGCTTATGCACACCAAAAGATGTGTCCACAGTTAGCTTTATTCATAACAGCCCCAAACTGGAAACAACCCAAATGACCAGCAAGGGTAGAATAAATAAATTATAGTATATCTACCCAGTGGAAGACTACAGAACAATGAAGGAAGACTGCTAAAGGAAACAAAGTGAATAAAATCTTACAGCATAATGTTGAATGAACTAACCCAGACAAAAGGAGTACATACTGGGTAACTCAATTTACATGAAGTTTTAAAACAGCCCAGACTAATCCCTGATGACAGAGGTCAGAAGAGTAGCTACGTTTGGGGGGCATTACTGGTGGTGAAGGGGCATGAAGGAGCCTTTTAGAGTGCTGAAAATGATCTATATCTTGATCTATGTGGTGGTTAAAATGGGTCTATACATACATATGTAAAAATTCATTTAGCCATGAACTTAAGACATACGCATTTCACCGTATGTTAGGTGTACCCTGATTAGGAAGTTGGAAATATGTCCAGTACTTCATTTTCTTCTCCAAGACCTCTGTGCAGGACTTCAGCTTTGCATCCACCATGTTTTACAAGAGTTATTTGCCTTCTCTATTATGTGTAAGCTTCTTGCAGGCGAGCACCATGTCTCATTTATCTGTACTTCTCCATTTGCCTAGCCCAGTGCTTGCTATAAAAAAGTTACTCGATAAATGTGTGTTAAACTATCCTACATGCCATGTAGACTCTCAACCACGCCTACTGTCCATCTCCTGCCTTCTACTTTGGATTAGAAATTAAAGAACGAGGGCAAACTTGTATAATCCTTTCCATTTGTCAAGATTTCAGATGAAGAAAATATGCTAAATTCTCTCATGGGTGGTGGTTCAGTTTACAGCAAAGGTTCTCAAGATTGAAGAGTATAAAGTTCAAGTGCAGATCTTGTTAAATATGCAGACCCCTAGCCCTATATCTGAAGAGACTTAGGTCAGAGAAGGAACCCAGGTGTACACTTTTACCAAGCACTGAAGAAAGTTCCGATGGTTCATACTAACCATCCTATAACCTCCACCAAAACAGAAGGTTCTAAGACAGGTGTCTTACCAAAATATTTGTATGTAAATGCCAATTTGGGTATTTCTAAAACTACCCAAGTTAAGTGATCTGTTAGATTCCACCTTTCTTTGGAAACCAGGAAGCACATGACATCTTTAATTCACCTAGGGAAACAGCCATTATGGCTGAAAATCCACTTCTGAAGGAATGTTCTACTCAGCACTGGGGAAATAAGGAGGCTACATGAGGTTCTATTGGAGATTTTTCTTTTAGAAAAATAATATTCTGGGGAATTTTTTGCCAATTTCTCTCTAGATAGAGTTCTTCAGGCCACGACACAGACTGACAAGAAGCTGAAAACTCCAAATCAAGACTGGCACCTTGTCCTCAATTTACATCAGTAAGATGAGAACAAACTGTCCGACTCAACTTCTCAACTTTTTCTTTATGTTGAATTAGTTTATCAGGAATTGGTGTTCTTTGGGGGAAAATGTATAAAAACAAGGGAAATCCATCAGTTTAAAAGTTGTCTCTCTCCTCTAAGCATTGAAATATACATATATGCCATTACCAAATTCTGCAGACAGTGGGTTACTGACTTTACTGTGAGTACAACTCCCTGAAGAACTACTCAGAGCCTAGCACTCCTGTGATGTATCTTGGTTGCAAAGCAAAACCAACAGGCCATAAACAAACCAACAAACCACTTGCAAGCATAATGAATGTATGTCACGTACAAGTATGTGGCTGTCCAGGAATACTGAGTTTAGCTCCTCTGACTGGAATGTAACAAATAGCTTTTTAGTTTTGCTTTGTCATCTATTTCTTCCTGATGGAGACGAGGAAAATATTCTTGAAAAGCAGCTGTTAATGGATAGTGACTAGTGGTTTCCTGTGGTCTAAGAACAAGCCATCAATTAGTGCTTTTTATGTTCCTTTAAATTCCAGAGGCAAAGGAAGTTCGATAGTGGTATATTGGCTTCATGGTTATTGAACTAAGAGGAGGAATCTCGAGATAAAACAAAGGCTTTTTTTTTCCCTTTTTGAATGAAGTTATATATATTTTCTTCATTAACACCACGAAATTTCTGGGAATCTCTGGGCTTCAGTTTAGCTCCCCATATCTTTTTGTATGATATAGAATGGTAGAAATGAGAGCATCGGGGTCCAGTGTGAATAATCCCAGGAGAAGGTCAGTAATGCTCATCACACAGGAGGCAGTGGGCAAGGCATTCTAACTCCCTTAGCCTCGCCGGGCCTTCATCTCTCCACAGAAAGCCTTCTCAAAATGGTTTTAGGTCTCCTGGTTCTGACTTCATGTAGAAGAGACAGAACCCAGAAGCTACAATGAACTCTTCAAGAAGTATTTGGAATCTCCCTAAGCAAAATTTAGAGAGTTTGTCTTCTCTGGCCTCAGCCTTCCCAAGTCTTCCCTCCTCTCGCTTCCTCCCCTCACGGCTCCGTCTGCCATTATTTCCCATGACCACAGGTGGAACCACCAACCTCTCTCCACACTGCCTCTGGACTATCTGATAGCTCGAAGATATAAATGACTGGTAGCAGCTTCAAACATTGCCTCTTTCAGAGACTATTCATTCTGGCAGAGGTAAAGCAAAGGAATTGTCTTTGGAATTGAAGGAGAGAAGGGCACAGGGAGAAGAGACACGCTTTGGAGGCTGAAGGGAAGCCACAGAAGACGAGAGTGCATGAACAAGCTCCCACACGCAGTCACAGTTGGCCCATATTCTGGGACCAGGGCTCTGCTTACAGGCATCTCTTCAGGGAGACTGCCCTGACCAAGGGAAAACATGTCCACATAGTCACAGCCTTCAGTCTGTATCTGGAGAACCCCACTTTCTTCCTCATAGCATGTATTGCTGCTTGAAATTGTATCACATATTTATATGTTTTCTTGTTTATCATCTGACTTCCTCACTCTCTGCTAGGTAGGATCTTCATCTTGTTTACTGCAGAATACCCAATAGCTAGACTAGTACCTGGCATATAATAGGTGTTCAATAAATACTTGTTGAGCTAATGAATGAATGATGGAGTGGATGGATGGGTGGCGTCAGGCCTCCACAAGCCCACCAGCCAGCCATCCCTCTATCCGGGTACCCAGGGCAGCACCCCACCCCCGGCCCCCATGGCTCAGAAACCTAGAGCTAGTGTAAACAACTATTCTGGTTTACCTGAGACTAAGGAGGTTCTTGGGACATGGGGCTTTTTGGTGTTAAAGCTGAGAAAGTCCTGGGCAAACCGGGACGAGTTGGCTACCCTCCCTCGAGACACCTCCTGAAAGTCTTTGATAGCTTATGTGAAAAGAGCAAGGTCAGGGTATCTACTATCCTTTCAAGGTCACCTCAGGCTGGCTTTCTTGCTAACTGAAGGTCACTGCTCTCACCAGGTGGTCTCCTCTACCCAATCCTTCCCTTCCGGATTCCAGGAATCATTTCCACTCTTTGTCATTGGGGCCTGGGGGTGGTAGCAGCTCTGACACTACTAATCCTGACTATCTGCACCATTCCTGTGGTTCCTCTCTGCTCTCCTGAACCTCAGTAAATAGCACTTTTAAAAATAACCCCCTCTTGAGTTATCTAAAGATGAATGAGCCACGGTTTTCCATGGGGACCCTGACTGATGTGAGGGAAAAGGAGAAATGTAGAAATAAATGTTATCAGAAACCATTAAGATGCAAAGGTACTTAACCTCTCAAAGCCCCAGTTCCCCATCCATAAGCCTGTGATCACCTCATAGGGCTGTTATAAGAAATGATTAAGAAAATCTACTTAAAGCTATTTGACAGCATATCAAAAGCACTCAGCAAATTTTAGCCACCACTGTAGCTATTATTCTTTACTTCTCTTCTTAACAGAAACAAGCCAGAAGGCAAGATCAGGCTTGCCATTCTTCTGAGAAGGACCCCAGAATCTCACCTCTCCAGATGGCCTAAGGTAACAGGCAGAAATACTGTAAATTTAAAATTTCACATAGGCACAAATTCCTATTCTTTTAGTATTTTTACTTGGGCTTTGAGTGGAGGCCTTAATATTCTATGTTTAGAGATTGGATCTAGTGGTAAGTCCAATGTCTGTTTTGGAGGAGGCCAGGAATGTGGGAAATGGTGGTTGCTTGGCACATTTGCAGGAAATCCCTCCACCTGCGGGACACACCCGCACCTCCTGTCCTGGAAATATACAGGAAATCAATAGGCCACAAAATGGAAACAATTTTGAACTCAAGAAAAGGGTTCTCCTTTTCTAATTTAATGATGCAGTGAACTGTCTGCAGACTTTGGATGAAAATGAGGCCCTGAGAAGATCCTGGGGAGTGCAGGAGCATGAGGGCTGAACATCAAGAGCAAGAAAGATTTCTTTTTCATTAAAACAAATTGGTACACTTGGATTTATAGTACCCAGTAAAGTATAAGCAGGAAGATGAAAATTCCACCATGAAATAAGACAATTTAGGAAAGACAAGAGGGGGTGGAGATAGCACTCAGCTTATTCCAAAGTGAATAATCACACACACACGCACATACACACATACACAGAAACGCTTTGCACATAACTTTCTAGGAAAAGTGGGAATAAGGAAAGAATATATGAGGAAATAAGGCACACTAATGTTCCCAAGAACAGGGCTAGATTTAAATCATGTTATAATATGTTAAAATAGTATCTCCTAAATTCACGGTCACTCAACACCTCAGAATGTGATCTTACTTGGAAATAGGGTCTTCGAAGATGTAATTCGTTAAGGGTCTCAAGATAAAATCTTCCTGGATTTAGGGTGGGCCCTAAAACCAATAACTTGTCTCCTTACACAAGAAAAGAGAGGGAGATTTGGACACAAGGGAGACCATGTAAAAACAGAGGCAAAAATTGGAGCAATGTGTCTTTATAATAGAACGATTCATATTCCTTTGGGCATACACCCAGTAATGAGATTGCTGGGTGAGATGGTATTTCTGTTTTTAGGTCTTTGAGGAATCACCACACTGTCTCCTACGATGATTGAACTAATTTACACTCCCACTAATAGTGTATAAGCGTTCCTTTTTCTCCATTTTATATTCATCACAGCACTATTCACAAGCACAAAGACATGGAATCAACCTAAATGCCCATCAGTGGAAGACTGAATAATGGAAATCTGGTACATATACGCCACGGAATACTAGGCAGCCATAAAAAAGAAAGGCATCCCACATTTTGAGTAATATGGATGGAGCTGGAGACCATTATCCTTAGCAAACTAATGGAAGAACAGGAAACCAAATACTGTATGTTCTCACTTATAAGTGGATGCTAAATGATGAGAACACATGGGCATTTAAAGGGGAACAACACACACTGGGGCCTATTGGAGGGTGGAGAGTGGGAGGAGGGAGAGGGTCAGGAAAAATAACTAATGAATACTAGGCTTAATACCTGGGTGATGAAATAATCTGTACAACTAACTCCTGTGACACATGTTTACCTATATAACCAACCGGCTCATGTACCCCTGAACTTAAAATAAAACTTTAAAAAAAAGGTTGGAGTTATGCTGCCATAAGACAAGGAGCTACAGAAGCTACAAGGAGTTGGAAGGGGCAAGGAAGGATCCTTCCCTGGAGCCACTGGAGGAAGCGTGGCCCTGCTGCCACCTTCATCTTAGACTTCTGGCTTCAGAATTGTGAAAGGTTAAATTTCTGCTGTTTGAAGCCACGAGTTTGTGGTCATTTGTCAAAGCTGTTCTAGGAAACAAATGATGCACATATCAAAATACTTCACATAGTTTATACAGCAGGAGCTCAGTAAACACGACTGGCTAACAGATCACCTAGATGAATCTACTGCCCTATAAAACCATGGAGGTACAACTGTACTTACTTGTGGTCTCATCTCAGAATGAAGACCCAGCACTTCATGCTTCCTGTTTAACATTTTGCAACTAGTGCGCTTCATGTGGAATGAATGGGAGTTCAGAATATGGAACAATCTGACTGAGATTGGTGTACCTGCTAATCAAACCTGGCACTCTGTTTCCAAACTGCTCATTCCAGCAGAAGCCACTGAGTAATTACACCCAATAGGAGATTGGTACCCATCACTGCAGGGGTTTTCACATTACCCACATCTGTCTCAAGCAAGGCCCTATTAGGGTGACACCATGCCTAATCTTTGCAATGGTGTTCACATAATCTCAGGCCTTTGGTCATCCAACCATCCACGGTAGAATCCCAGTTCTTAAGACCCCCTAGCTATTACTGGCCACAGTGAGGGAGGGCCGCCTGCACAGGGAAGGTGGCAGTTGTTGGGGTGGGGGTTGGGGGGAGGTTACTAAGAATGAGGCCACTCTACTTCTGGAGAGGTTGGAGGAGGGCTGGAAGGAAGCAGAAATAGATAAAGCATATCTCCTACAAGACCCAGAGCAAAACATAGCTGGGAGTTCTCAGTCCCTTGCTCTGCTACACAGCACTCGGCCCAGGAATATTTTGAATCCTCGCTTCGAAGTCCCAGTGTACTTAGTGTGGCCCTAGTGATGTTCCTCTGCTCCATCTCACCACGTCCCTCTTCTTCCTGGCTGATGAAGCTATGGACCTTGAGTCCAGTTTGCTCCTCCTTCTTTTTGTTCCTAAATTATACTATTGGTTCCATCCCTCTGCAATTCTAACTTGATTCCAAGGCGGCCAGGTTTCTAGTTGATTATTGTGCTATTGTCCTCCGTTTGCCCCTCCTCATTGTTCTCTGCCCTTCTCCTGGGCCCCAGGGCATCCACTTTGACACACAGCATCAGCCAGACCCCCTAGCTCTGGTTTCTGGATAGGAAAGGAGATACTGGCAGGAGACCGGAGGAGAAAGAGGTCAGATCAGGGTGGGATCAGCGTGTCCTCTTCCCTACTCAGTCCTTGCCAGGCCTCCGTGGTAGCCCTGTCTCAGTGTCTCCACAGCCAGAGCTCTGCCAGTTCCTTCAGGCCTGGAACTGGAAACTGCTTCCTCCTGTTTCAAGTCCCTGAGTGCTAGACTTTGCCTTATCACTTCCTCAACTCTGTCCCACCTCAATAAATGGTGCTTCCATTAAATCCCTTTTATTCAATCCCTGAGGCAGTTACCAATATTAATCAGGTTGCACACATTTAATACTTTACCTAGGCGCAAGCATTACACACACACGTGCAAACCCTCTCTCTGTTATATGAAGAGTGTGGCTTCGAAATCAGACACACGTAAATAAACAGGCATGCCATAACTGCCCAGCTCACTGGGGTTCTTCAGTCTCTGTGACTCTCAGTTAATTCCTCTGGGAAATGAGAACAGAGTCTCTACCTCCTAGAGTGATGATGGAGCTGAACTGAACTTACACGGCACATTCCTGGTGTGCTGCTCCCTCATCTATTCATTCGGTATCATACAAGCGTCCCAGCTCTGTTTGGCAATCCCCCACTGAGCTTGCTTAGGTCTGGTTGTCTGACCTACTTCCAGGTGCAGTAACTTTTTCAGGCTAGGACTTGGGTGGTCCTGCCCACATGTCTAAGCATTTTGCTATAGGATTGACTCCAGCCTCACCACCTCCTTGTCCGGAGGGATGGATATGCTATCTCCAAAGGAGATTGTGGAGGTAAAGAGATGGGTGTAATGATTTCTTCATGTTTGCCCCAGTCCCAGTAGAACTGCCATGAGGAGTGGGGTCTCTATGCCCCCTGCCCCTGCCATTCTTTTGGAGGAAATCTCACCCAACATGTGGTTTGTGAATTGCCTTTCTGGGTGTGTGATGTGCCTGAGATGATGATGACAATGACCAGGGTTGGCGGAGGTTGGAAAAGAAACGGTGGAGGAAGTCACTGTGGGCACAGAATCAGCCCCCCATGCCTTGCATGCAACAACTTAGACGGAAACAGACTCACTTCTCAAATTGATGAATTGGCAGCTGGACATCCAGCTGCTGGGCGTTCCCATCCTGGTTGAAAATTCTGTGTGACATTGGCCATGAGCGATAAACCATGGAAACCAGTGCTAATGAGATCTTGTTCATCCATTGGCTCAAAAACATTGCCTCAGTGAGCACAGCTATGCATGATTAATGGTGGTCAAGAATGAATGCAGAGTTATCACTTCAGACAAGGGAAAAGTTGCATGCATCCCCCAAATTTCTGGAAAAAAAAGAAATGAATTCAGAAAATACAAGCAAGGGCAGGATAGAAGGGGAAAATACTTATTCGAGGTTTGCCACTAGAGATTTCACTTTTATGATGCATTTCAGCAAAACAAACAAACAAAAACATTTAGATTGTTTTCATGAACTATATAAAAGTAAATCGATCCATAAAAGGAGAATAAATAAAGAATTTAAACCACTTTCTTGCCAAAGAACCTTTAAAAAGGAAATATGTTGTTTTTAACAATTCCAAAATAGTCAATAGAATGTTTAGAAATAGTTGATAAAACTACTTTGTTTAGAACTCAATTTTCAAATTGAATCTATTTCTTTAATTAAAAAAACAAATTTACAAAAAAAGATAAAGTGGTAATAAAGGCTGAGATTGGCTGTATATTCAGCAAATGAACCTCCTCAAATCATAACTGCTACATCCATTTCACGACGACTAATGATGGCCACAGCCATTTGTGTTTGTATCATCATCCAGACTGATGACTAAGACAGGCAAAATGAACAGATCATCCATGGCCATTCATTGGACAAGTGTGCAGCTCTGCCTCATAAATAAGATCTACTGTCATTTTTTTCCTAATTGTATAAGCAATACATGGCCACTTCCCAAAACTGAAAAAACAAGGAAAATCACAAAGCAAAGAAGATTCAAGCTGTCGATAATTTCGCCTATAGTCCAAACTACTTAGAGGCTGAAGCAGGAGGATAGCTTGAACCCAGGAGTTCAAGGCTACAGTGCGCTATGGTAGTGCCACTGTACTCCAGCCTGGGCAACCAGCAAGACCCTCTCTCTGAAATTATAATAATAATACTAACAACAGATTCACATTTCAAAGTACTCATTGTTAACATTGTAGAGAATGCATTTCCATATTTTTCCAGTTCTTAATAAAAGATATAAATATAAATAATGTACAGCTATAAGTAAATAATATAAAATGTAAATAAAGTAAATATAAAACCCTATAATATGATTTCATTTTCTTTTATTATAGTCTCTAATTACTGGTCAAGTATATCTTTTCAATTTTTTCTCTGTTTTTGTTTTTTGTTTATTTTTGTTTGGTTGGTTTTTTTTTTTTTTTTTTTTTTTGAGACAAGATCTCACTCTGTCACCCAGAATGGAGTGCAGTGGTGTGATCTCGGCTCACCACAACTTCCGCCTGCCAGGTTCAAGCAAGTCTCCTGCCTCATCCTCCTGAGTAGTTGGGGTTACAGGCGCATGCCACTCCCGCCCAGCTATTTTTTGTATTTTTAGTAGAGACAGGGTGGTTTCAGTATGTTGGCCAGGCTGGTCTCAAACTCCTGATGTCAAATGATCCACCTGCCTCGGCCTCCCAAAGTACTGGGATTACAGGCATGAGCCACTGCGTCCGGCCCCATTTTTCTGTTTTAAAATCAGTGAAATTCCTTTTCTAATGTTTAAAGTAATTTAGTCTGCTGACCCTAACTGAAGATAAAAACTGAAAAATTAAACAACCAAACCCCACACCAACCTTCTATAAATTTTCCTTGTTATTTGAGGCCCCAGGATCTTTGCTTGTGCCCTTCCCTCCACATGAAATGCTCCCTCCTTCTGCTCATCTGCCTACAAACTCCTGGCTTTTGGTAGAGGGCACTTAACTACTTAGTTCCACGTGTTTTCCTTAAAGAGGAAGGACTTAGACGTCATTCCCAGGAGGGAATACCTCTTTCTCCCCTAACTCAGTGCTCCTGAGGTACAAGGCAAGAATATACAGCATTAGGGCGCCCCCTTGCTCCGGTGGACAGCCATGCTAGAGCTCATGGTTTCATGGGACCTCCTTCTTCTGGGCTGTTTTGCACTTGCCATGGGGAGGCCGGCTGTAGTCACACCTCTGGCTAGGTGAATATTCACTCTGCAGACTCAGTTACTCTCTTGCAGTAAACCGCAGGTCTTCACATGGACAGGAGGACTGCAAAGGCCAGAAGTTCCAAGTTTCATTCTTCAAACTTGCTTAAGTCGTTTAAAGTCTTAAGTGGGTATTTCAACACCTATCTAACTTCTACATGTAATTCTCAGGGTTCAGAACTGGGGCAGAACCCAAAAGTCTTCCTTGGACCACATCTGTCATAACAGAATTAACCTTTTATACATACATTTTATAGCACCGAATCATATTTGTTCACATGGCATATCCCATTTGAGTCTAAGGCCTCCTTAAGGCAGAATATTGAGACTTACTTGTCTCTTCATTTCCATAAATCATTCTATTCCTATTATGCTATTTCCTAGCATAATATCTGGCATATAGGAACACTTAGTAAAAAATCTGTTAAATGAGAAGATCGCAAATTGTTGGCAGTGTCACATATTTGTAAACAATCAGACAAATTTTTATCCAAAAAGTTTCCCTACAAATAATAGATTCTTATAATGATAAGATGTCCCTAGAACAGTGATTCTCACATGTTTCAGAATCATCTGGAGCAGAGAACACCTGCTGGGCCACCCCTGAGTTTCTGGTTAGTCGTTTTAGGCCCTAGACTTTACATTTCTAACAAGCTCTCAGGTGATATTGATGCACCGGTCTGGGAACCACACTTTGAAAACTACTATCCTAGAACAATCATTCTCAAACGATTATCAGAATCACTTCTGTTACAGTTGCCCCAGTACATTTCTAAAAAATAAAAAAAAATTTAAAAAGAATTACCTCTGTTTTGCTAAATTTCCACATATTGCTATGATATTCCGACCTGGAAAGGTGGATGCAGAAATCAAATATTTCATACATGACTCTGTGATAGCAAATCCATCCAAAGACAGATAATTGGAAATCACTGGACTTGGGCCGCACTCACAAGCTAACTTTGGAATGACATGTAAAAAAGAATTTCCTGGCCATATCTTCTGTGACTCATTCTGTAACTGTGAATTATTGAGTAACTAACAATTTTCTGGGGAAATCTACTCCAAGATACCGTATGGTGTCTTGGTTTGGGCTAAACTTCACTATTTAATTCCTGATTTTATCATGCCCTATAGGACTGTTCTTCTGATCTGATCAGGATACAGCAAGTCTCAGGACAGCAATCTCTTCACCAACAACTATTAATTAGACACCCACTAAGGGAAAACCACCATGGAAGCTCCAAAGTGGAGAGAAAGAAGCAAAATATTTAGCTGTCTGGAAATATCAGTTGGCTGTAAAGATAGAAAATAGATACATTTTTTAAAAAGATATTTCTAATAACAAACAATAGTTACCCAAAGATTGGTGAAGAAAAGAAAAACTAAAATAACTTTGAGGAAGAGAAGGATGGATTTCTCAAAGCTAGAGAAGTAAAGAAAAACCATTTGAAGAAGAAGAAGGAACTGTAGAGTTATATCGGAAGACAGAATTGAAGAGGCAAGATCCTACCTAGAATAAAGTTCCAAAGAGAGCTTGAGACCCAAGCCAATTATAGAAGGACAGGTCTAGTGATAGAAGTAGGACATCTTGACTTCCATAAAAACAACAAGGGCACCTCTGTCAATTAGCTACTGGCTCTCTTCTGCAGATGACATTGCTCTGGAATAGTATGAGTCTGATTCCTCAGTACCATCTGGCATTTTCTGACTAAGAGCAGCTCTTGTGCTGAAATGCAAAAATGGTAGTAGTTAAAATAGCACAGAGAAAATGGTGGCCTGTGTTTATCGACATGTCTTAGCGTATAGGAGTCAATAACTACTAGATGTTATAGAAAACACATTCATTTTGATGAGCCCTGAGGCCCTGGAATACCTTTCTCCAGTAGGTGATAAAATTGCTGATTGTTGTCTTTGGGAGAAGTTAAAGTGGAAATTAAATGGGCCCATGAAGAATAATAGCCCTTTTGATTTCTTTTTGGACGAGGCATGTGTGTTACTGCCTATGCCTTCACTTGATGTAGCAAACACTAATGATGATATCACGGTGTTCCTTAGTTATTGAAAACCATGTGAAACATTCTAAAATAATTCTGTAAAGTAATCTTCTATTTATCTCATCATGTAAATGTGGCACCACACCTGAAATCAGAAATAGAAAATATTGAAAATTTTGAAATCAAATGTAGCATGCCCTGAGATGAGACACGATTGTTACAGTATCCGCACTAGTGACATCAACGACTAGCTGTGGATGAATAGAATAGGATACTGAAGTGGTTAATCATTAATTATTGTCTTGGAGCCTTCATGCTTTTGTAAAATCATCTGCCCGCATCTGCAGCTTTGGCTGAGGGACATAATCAGACCACTGTGCTTTTATCAATACACTCATCTCTTCCAGGAAGCAGCTTTATGGGCATGGTGGACACGACTAAATCTTGGGAAATCAGATTCTCTCTCATAGGAAATTGGGTCTCTCACTGAAAGATTGTGTCCGTTACTAGTGGGAGTCAAGACAAAGTCATGCAGACTTGAGGCTGGTGGCCTCAAGCGATGAGCAGAGGAGCCAGTCTTTGGGGGAAGAAGGCTGAAGATATGCCTGACAGAAAAGCTGCCAGGTGACTTTCCAGTTCTTGTGGGACCCAGCAGGCCCCCAGCACTTTGTTTCTCATGGGCACATAAGAGGGAGCTGACCACGGCTGCGGCAGGGCCCGCGCCACATGCAGCAGTGTTTGTTCATGGTAGCGCCAGCTATGCAGCCCAGCGGGTCCATGGGTTTGGTTTGAGTATCTGCTTGAGTCAATGTCCATAATCCTCTTCCATACTTTTTCCTTGGCAAAATGAATCTTTATGGCTTTTAAGTGAATAGATGTCATAGCTGGATCCAAATGGGACCGCGCCGGTCTCCTCCTGAAACTGGAGTTCCTTGGAATATGTGTGAGATCAGCTGGCAGCATCCTGAGGCTGCTCTGTGGCAATGGTATGAATGCCACAGGCACTGATGTTTGTAGCCATGAACTTTCCAGGAGATATTTGTCCTGCTCCCTATAAAGATTAGTAAAATCTCCACACAAGATGAGCATTCTTCACATTCACATGGCCTCCAGGAGCATCAGTCTGGGCTCAGGAGTCCTCAGGAATGCAGCACCTCATGCCTTTGGCTAAAGGCCTTTGACAAAGTGCTGGGGGAGGGAGCGTGGCTATGGGAGGGGCATGGCTGTGGAGTGGGCATAGCTAATAAGCATTCACCACAGCTACAGGCTATTTTCATCTCCTCAAATTCTCCAAGAAGTTCTGTCATAAATTCAGTGGTAACTCTCCAGAAAAATCTTTCCCACCCCTCCCCTGTTCCCACTCACCTTAACCCACTTCAACTCATCCTGGCCTGGGTGCCATTTCGTATTCACCCATATAGCCCGTGAGGTAGCCCTTTGTGGTTAAATGTACATACTATGGCATAGTAGTATTTTTGAAACATTAACTGATTTTACTTCTTCTGATATTTGCCCTCTTCCTCCCCTTTATCCTCCACTCCCACTCACTGCCCCCACTCCTATTGAGGCAGATGGTCTCTTCTGGATTCATGGCCTCAAAGAAGGGCAGAAGGTAGAAGTGGTCTATTGATTTAGCTTTGATATTTACCAAAGCCTCCAACAATTAAAGAGATTACACCAAAATACCTCAATAGGGTGCTTTAGAGAGAGGTAAAAGGTCCCTCGACCTCTCAAGAAGGGGAGACCCCCTTACCACTCCAATGCAGGGCCTCAACAATGTAACTGGACTTCAAAGAGAGATGGTATCAAAGCCCTGAATTTCCTCTTTGGACATTAGGCACAGCAAAGATCTGTTGGACCTCAAGTACAATGAAGATGCCAGCATTTCTAATGTGGGTAATCTGGCTTCTCTCCACATTTTGGGCTCCATGAG
The DNA here is from genome assembly GCF_000001405.40 of Homo sapiens. NCBI lineage: Eukaryota > Metazoa > Chordata > Mammalia > Primates > Hominidae > Homo > Homo sapiens. Next base: position 6,498,959 of record NC_000006.12, read on the forward strand.
TCTGTTGGAGCCCTAGTAAGGAGAAGATTACGACAGCGACTGACATTAAGTTTTCTATCCTCATGGTAATAGAGTTTTAGGGTCTCAATTAGTTTCATGGGAAGAAAATAAATGAAGTAGCAAGTGTGTTTTTTAAACTTGAGTCTTAAACACTTGCAGTGTCTGTGTTGTATCATCTTTTCATCAATAGGCCCTCAACAGCCGGAGGGGGAATGATGTGTCTGAGTTCTCCCACAGACACTCTGGAGCAGGTATCCCCAGTGTGCCAGGAACCCTGCTGGCAAGAACATGCTAACATATTTAGAACCGGTTTCTCTTGGGAGCTGTTCATTTAATACGTGTGGCACATGGTAAGGTGGTCAATGAGGCCAAGGTCTTTCAAAGGGATTAATAACTTGACTATTTTTAACTGCTCATCATACATACTTAAGAGAGAGTGGCACTGCTTGTTATTATCTCAATTTACTTCATTTGTTTGCTTTCATTTAAATCTGCTTTATTTCTCTTTGTTTTCTTTCTTCCTTTCTTTCCTTCTTTCTTTCTTTTCCTTTTTTCTTTCCTTCAACAAGAGCCTATTCTTGTCTCCAGAAATATTACGTTAAGTAGTAGGAATACAGATAAGAGATGAGAACACATTCAACAACAAAAAAATCCCATTTTTAAAAACAGCACTGTGGAGGTGGGCATGTGTCTAGTGCGAATAAGGTAGAATAGCACATGCATGTGCCACTCCCTGTGGCAGAGGTTCCACTTAAATAACTGTATGGACGTTCATAAATAAATAAATCTGTAGCAGTGAAGAAATTGGGAGCAATGAAGGTCTTTTGTAGATGGGAGACTTCAATGCATTTCTTGAATATGGAAGCAGATGGGAACATGAAACAGAGGAAACCAAAGCCCAATTATGTGTATGAGGGGACTTCAGGGGAAGTGGCTGCCAGTCAGCCTCACAAGATGTCAGCCAGCATTTAGGCATAGGGTTACTGGCTCCACTCCCACACAGGGCAGAGAGCACCAGGTTTTTATCTCCTAAAGAGGGCAGAAGAATAGCAAGAGACTCTTCACTAAGACAAATGGATAAACTAGCTGGGGAGGAATTTGTATTTTTTTTAATATAGAATGCTTCACAAATTTGTATTTTAGCGGGGATGTTGATCTAAGAGGAAAGCTCCCCTTATTCTGGCATTTGGTGGGTGGAGATGAAGCAGAATGTCTCATCTAAGGCTGATTCCCACACATGTACATCCTAAAACAAAATCTGTCAGTTAGCCCTATGCATTTGCGCAGATTTCGTGTCTGCCTTCCCATTCAGGGGAGATGTCTATTAAGAAACATATCATCAACCCAAATTAAAAAGAAACCTTTACTAGGTAGCTATTATTATGAAACGAATCCTTCACTCATCAATGTGAATCTACAAAAAAATCATCAGACATTTAAGGACAACCACAAGCAGAAAATTAAAAAAAGAAAGACCAAAACATACATAGTCTCAAAGGAAAAGAAATAATTCAAAAACTAGAAGAGATTTTTTAAATTGTTAATAAATATCTTTAAAGAAATTTGAGAAGATATTGCATTTATAAAACAAGAATAGTATGGCTGAAAAGAGAACTAGCAGAGAACACAGAAGAGTTCCTATAAATTAAACATCTAACCTCTAAAATATGAAATTCAAAAGAACAGCTGAAATATAAAGTCAAAATACTCTCCTAGAGCTTAAAGCAAATGGCAAAGAGATGGCAAATTTGAAAGATAAAGGTAAGAGTCATAGAGAAATAATACAGGAGTTGCAGAAATCTATCAGGTAGCTAAGAGGAATTATAGAAAAAGACAGAGAAAATGGATGGGGGAATTTTTTAAAGAAATAATAGGGCATACTTCACATTTGATGAATCCATTGAGTACTGAGCAGGATGAATTAAAATAACTACTGAGCCAGCACATCCTCTTGAAATTTCTGAACACCAAACATAAAGAAAAAAATTATAAAGCTTCCAAAGACAAATTCAGGGAACCATCTAACTCGTCATTAGTCAGATTAGTCAGAAGATAATGAAACAATGTGTTTAAAGTGCTAAGGGAAAAAAATCTTTTGAGCCTAAAATTCTATGCCCAAACTATCATTGCAGTATGAGAGTAAAATAAAAATATTTTCAGATAAAGACCTAGATGATATACCACACTTTCTGTGTGAGGAAGTCTTCTGAGTATATATACTAGTAAAACAAGGAGAAAAAACAGAAAGATGACATGGAATCCAGGGCTAGACTTTCATCCTGGAGGTCACTAATAGGAAGCCCAAGGATGGTGGCTGTGCAGCTGATCTGGACAACAACAGGTCCAGGATAGGAGAGTCTGGGAGAGACCCTATCCTGGGGCACCATGAGAGGATAAAGGGATTCAAGACAATAGTTAACACTATTGAAGGTCTGGATACAGTTGAGATTATGATAGAGAGTTGAGATTCTTTTCCAAATAAGAAAAAAATAACTCAATTAGAAACCTACCTGGTATTTTTTTAAGCCAGGGCCCAAAAATCAGGGGAAGAAAAATAACACTTGATTTTGAGTGACTGATAAAATGTAAGAACAGAAAACCGATGTGACCTTGAAGCTAGGAACACTCTGCTTCAAGTAGCTCTGGAGTCACGACCTGAGACCTACAGGGCAGGAAATGTCATCATTAGCTCCTTACTTGGCACTGCAGTCAACATTTATATAGTCTTTATTATGTCAATGCCACTTACTAGTTTTCCAGTTTTAGAATCCACCAAGAGATAAAGCACAGGAGATTGAATTATGATCACAGAATAGAAGAGAAATGTTATCAACTTTGACAAAGTAAAAGTGCTGCAGCAGCTGACAGAAGATGGGTAGTGAAAGTGATGAGATGTATAGGGAAGAGCAGGAGTGAAGGTCTTATTCTTAGTCAAGAAATAACGCTTACAGAATAAGAGGTGGAGGTTTATTAAAAATATTTAGGTAACCCATAGAATAATTAAAACCAAAAAAGTTGAAAGGGAGGGAGAAAAGGAGGGAGGGAGAAAAAGAGGTAGGGCATGCATAAGTAAGATAAATGCTCATCTCTCATAGCAGTGGTCAATAGATCTTGATCAAAAGGATCACTTAAAGTTCTTTATTGCAAACAGCAGAACTCAGGATGAGTAAGCAAAAAATACCTTTCTAATAGGGTACTGGGTAGCTCACAGAATCCTCTAGAAGTTCACGGTCAAGCAATTTCACATAATGCCAAGCCCAACTCCACTGCCAAAGTGGGCACAACAGTGGCAGCATTAGACTCATAGCAATGGAAAAGCAAATGTCAGCTCCTCAGATGGCTCTGCAGTGAGCTGTTATATACGAGCTGCTGTGGGGAAATTTCTCTATCACCACTCCAGCAGCTGGTGCAGCCCCTGCAGCCCCTCCAACAACACTCAGGCCTGGATGGCAGAAATTCTGCTGCCATTCCCTCCAAACAGTGCTGCAAGTAGTAGTTGAAGCACTACTACCACACTCACGGAAGAAAAGTGAACTCCCCACACAGAACTCCCTCCTCTGCCCCCTCCTAAGTGACAGCCCAGTGTGGTGTGGCAGGTTAGCAGAGCCTATGTCACAGTCTGCTTTCTTCCAGCAAAGGAGGCCAGAGAATGAGTTTTGGCTTCTAGCTTGGGGAGGTATGATACATAACATAACATAGAAAACTCTTCAAATAGAGAAAGGTATTAGGAAGACACTGGACCTCAGAAACCTGGCAAATGCCCACCACACTAAAAAAATCAAGCAATCAAGTTATTGGTTTTCAAAAATGTATTGAGTTTTTTGTTTTTTGTTTTTGTTTTGGTGGACATGGCATTTGATCACCAGAAAAACTAAAAGGAGAAAAAGTTAGTTGTCTTTGCATAGACTGATGGTGAGTAGGACCATGCCAAAGATAGGAAGTGTTCAGTATAAATCCTACATGCCATTTTATATGATGTGTACATGGGTTACTTGGATGACTTTTTAATTTATAATTTTTAAACTCACCCCTAAAACACTTTAACCACGCTATAGACTCAAATACCAAAAACTCTACCAGCCTCACTCACCATATATAAATTCCTACTAAAAAAAATAGTCTTCTGATATTGCCATTTATACACCAGCCAAAGGCAGGTTGGTATTGAACTTACTAGAAATCTTTTCTTTTCCCGTGAGCAGAGATTGTCTTCTATTTCATGGGAGAACCTTTTTAAAGATACTCTGTTGTGTCGAAGGAAATATAGGAGAATGTACAGCCTCGTGGGGAATGGTGCTAAACCTGAGACGGTTCTTTGGTGACGCAGTGGTTTTTCAAGGTAGAGCGAGAACCTGAACTGCCAAGAACAAGTCCCTGAGCTCAGCAAGTCCAGCTCCGTGGAAACTGCCTCCTCCCTCAAAAGCAAATGCAGAAACTACTATCTGCTTCCCCACACTTCGCTGATGTTTCCTATATTCTGACTAGAAAATGAGCTGATGCTATCTGGTTTTCTTCCCTTTTTTCTGCTTTGTTGCTTACAAGAGTTTTTTTTTTTTAATAAGAGCTAGTCTTTACTATGTGCCTATCATTTGCCAGGCAGCTTTTCATTCTTTCTTTTATTCATTTATTTAGCTACATTTACTGAGCACCTGTTCTGTACCAGGCATTGTGCTGAATGCTGGGGATGCAGCAATGAACAACATAGGCCATGTCTGTACACACTACAGTTGTGTAGCACAGCATAGTCGCTAAGCTCATGAGCTTGGACACAGGCTCATGGGTTCAGTCTCACATCGCCATGAACTAGTTATTGATTTAAATCACTTAACCTTACATCTCTGTTTGTTGTTCTAAAATGATGGACACATTTCTAAAATGGGAACATTATTCATCTCAAGGATGTTGTGAGGATTAAATGACATATCTTTGTAAACCCTTGGCACAGTATTTCAGTGAGGGGCAATTAGCAGAAACAGGCAATTATGACAGAATTATACATAAATAAGCACTAGAACAGTTTTAAGAGGAGCCTGCAAAAGGCCATGTATTCTTGCCTGGGTGGATCAGAGAAGGCTTCCTAGAGGAAGTAAGATCTAACCTAAGGACAAACAAGTGAGCGAAATTATTAGTTGAGAAAAGAATAGCAGGATGTTTTAGCTGGAGGAATAAGGTGGAGGTTTGGCTTTTAAGTATGCAACTTCCAGTTATGTTCCGTGTGGCTGACTACGGAGCATCAGTCAAAGAGTAGTCCAAGAAGGAAGCAGGAGCCAAATCAGGGGTTTATAGGTAACATTTTAGAAAACTGAGAACTACTAAAGTGATTTCAACTAGGTGATATTTTGATCAGGTCTACTTATAGAAGTATCACTCTAGATCAGATCTACTTGTAGAAATATCCATTTGGCTGCAGTGTGAAGCGTGGATCGAAAAGAGAACAGACAAGGGACATAATGTGGCATAAACGACTGCCACAGAAGGGATTGTGAGTCTGAAACCTATCCCAACCCAGATCTCATGCAACCAGCCTAGATGGTGGCCAAGTACATGAACCAATCTCTAACATCTTTAACACTTAAGGATCAAGAGAGAAGGATCACACACTCTATCTCTGGAGCTTTAACACGTGGGCTGCCTTAACTCCAAGATCTTCTGAGAAAGAGCTCCCATCAGCACCCTTGGATACAGCAACTGGCACCACACTCTGAACCGATTGAGCTTCTCCAGCAAAGGCAAGACTTCCCCTGTGTGTCCCTGTCTTCCACTGAAGCTGCCCCCACAGTTCTAAATAACCTCATTTCTTGAATCCTCTCAAGAGGAGGCTCAGATGCTTCTGTGTATCTGTGTGGCCTTATGCCATCAAAGATGCTTCAGCATCCAGCTGCTCTGGTCCACTGTGACCTTGTGACATTATGTGACTAACACCAGATCTTTTCCTACTGTTTTGACCCTGGGACCCTAAGGAAGTACCTGAGGGAACAAGTGGAATGAGTTTTAATCCTGCAGGCTTTGTGCGACTTGAATGACAGCCTCTTTCCTGAAGAGGAAACTTGAGAAGTTGAAAACCCACTCTCAAAGAGTAACTACTCTCAAAGACAACCCTCTGCCCAATAACTAGTGATCACTGTAGACATGCGGCTATGGCCCAGCCTCTGCTGAGCAGACAGCAATCACCAAGCTAGCAGAAACCAAGATAGGGCCAGGCAGGATTGGACTTCACCTCCTCAGGAGACCTGTTGGCTCTCTGAGACCCCAGGACCCATGAAAAGGAGGGGAGCAAAGGCCCGGCGAGGGAAGTGAGGGATGGGGATGGATCTGGCCTCTGGATTTCTTGCACCAGCATGTGGTGCCCAAACAGTGCCATCTGGAGACTGATTTGGGTATGTTTGTTTGAACCTAGATTATGTACTGGACCCTCCAATATATAAATGATCATTGATGTCTTGGATATGAAGGAGATTGTCCAGCAGAGGTGTACAGAAGAAGAGGATCCAGAACAGAAACTCAGTACCAACAACTTTAGGATGGGGACGAGGAAGAGGAGAAGACACTGGAGTCTGAGAAGTGTCCACAGAGCTAGAAATAAGTAATCAAAGTGTGGTTCCTGCAAGCCAAGGGAAGAGAATGTTTCAAGGGAGTAGGATTGGTCAATGTTTCTGAGAAGCCACAGAAGACAAAGACAGTCACTTAGTAACTGGGATGGCCCTGGTCATCTGATCAGAGCAATTTCAGTGGAAGCATCAGGGTAGGAACCACAGAACAGGACATGGAAGGTAACAAGGAAAGGTAGAGTGTAAGCAATGTCATGTCCATTACTTTCAACCGTCACATCAATCCTGCAAGCCAGGTATTGTTTTCTTCCCTTTGAAAAATAGGAAAAAGAGAGTTGCCCAAGATGACACAGCTAAGATTTAAACACAAGTCTGAGTGGCAGAAAGACAAAGTCCTTTCCACACACCACTGCCTCCCCAAGCACTTAGCCACCTGTGTGTCTCCGCTGACAATGTTGGAAATTTCTGATAACACTGCACTGAGCAGTGGGATGGGGACACTATGCAGTATGCTTGTTTGTTAACAGAGAAATAAAGTTACATGGAAAACTGGAAAAAAAAAAACAGCAGCAACTTTGCTCTTCTCTTTGTAGCAATGTGTGTGTTTGTTTTCGTGGGCCCTGTTCGTGGACTCCTACTGAACATCTCAGAATTCTTTGGACTCAGATACCTCTTTGCTGTAGTGCAAAGATGCTGACCTGCCAAAAGTGTGTTACAGGCTGTGCCTCTTTGAAGAACCAGCTTGAACTGATTGTTCTTCAGCTTCTCACATAAATTAGAGAACATGAGGCCCACAGCTTTGCCCAAAGTTGTCAACAGGTTTTAATTGTCTCTGCTTTTCCGTACACACAGATGGCTTGGTTAAGCTGCTCTGAGCAGACCTCTACTGTCTCCACTAAGAAAAATTAGACACAACAAATGGAAATCCATTTAAAAAGAAAAGTTATAATAAGGTAAAGTCCTAAGTAACTGTGGCTATTTTTTATGAAGGTAAATGCTATGAATAGTAGCCATGACAGTGCAGAGATAGAGGCAAATTAAGAAAAACTGTAACGAAAATGTGAACTTTTGAAGGCAGGTGCAGAAACTATCAAGAAAAGTAGATAGAAGTATTTGGAAAGGAAAGGAGGTTCTTTTTTTACTGATGGCATCTATAATAGGCCTTGAATTTCAAGTTTATTTTTCCAGGTTCACTCAGAGAAGCTAGAAATGATTCAACAATTATGCTTACAGGAATCTGTCCTTCAGAAATAATACAAGTGTGTAGAGTTATTTTAAAAGATTATATTACAACACTGTTTATAGTAGCAAAAAATTGGAAGCAAACTATTAGATTGGTGCAAAAGTAATTGCTGTTTTTTGCTATTGACAGTAATGGCAAAACCGCAATTACTTTTGCATCAACCTAATAATTAGTTAAATGTAGTTTACATAACAAAACATTGTACACCTAAAGTTAATAATATGAGCTTAAGTTCGTAGAAGGTCAAAGGGTATAAGCATCTTGCATGTTAAAAGGCATTGCTACATTGCACTGTGTAAAGGTTGTACCAAATTACATTTCCACCAACAGTATATGAAAGAACCTATGTCTGTACATTCTAACCAATGCAGCATGTATTACTAATGTTACAGGTTAAAAATAGGTAAGTAAATTATGCATCATTATCATTCTAATTACTATTTCCTTTATTATAAATACAGTTGAACACCATTTTGTTTCATTTGAGAACAATCATTTATATTTTCTTTACTATAAGTTACCCCTTCAGGGACATTTGCAGTGGCTCACGTCTGTAATTCTAACACTTTGGGAGGGCAAGGCAGGAGGATCTCTTGAGCCCAGGAGGTCAAGACCAGCCTGGGCAACATGGTGGAACCCTGTGAAAGGAAGAAGAAACAAAGAGAGAAAGAGAGAAAGACAGAAAGAAAGACAGACAGACAGAAAGAAAGAAAGAAAGAAAGAAAGAAAGAAAGAAAGAAAGAAAGAAAGAAAGAAAAAGAGAAGGAGAGAGAAAGGAAGGAAGGAAGGAAGGAAGGAAGGAAGGGAGGGAGGGAGGGAAAGAAAGGAAAAGAAATAAATTATCCTTTCTTTTTTTTTTATTTTCCTGTTGGGTTTTGGTCTTCATATAAATATATATGCTTATATATGTGAAATTGGCCCTTTTTCCTTTTGTGTTTTCACTTTGTTTAAAATTTTTTGCAATGCTATTGTTTTGTCAAAAATGTTATCAACTTTTAATGGTTTTATTATTAGAAAATATTTATCTATTTAAACTTTCTGAATCTTATATGCTTTTATAATACTTTTAATTCCCATTTTGAACACCTAAATTGTAGCCAATCTGTAGATTTCTGTGTATATAATATGTATGATGGAAATTCAGTCTTTTACCAGATAATTATAAAGATGATCCAAAAGCGTTAACTCGGTACTCCCTATTTTCTTTCACTGTATTAAAATTCCATCTATATCACCTACTAAATTAGTAATATGTATTGCTTCTGAACTTTTTGTTTCATTTATTGGTTTTCCTAGACATGCACCAATACCACATTGTTTTAATTCTGGTAGCTTTAAAATATGTTTTGATATCAAACAAAGATAGTACTCTTTCATTGTTTTTCTTTTTTAAAATATTCCTGGTCATTCTTATACACTTTTTCACAAGATGTTTACAATCTATTTAACTGGTTAAAAGGCTGTTGGAATTGCATTACATTTATGAATTGACTGGAGAACTTTACGAAGTTGAGTTATTCTACCCATGAAAATACCACAGTTTTTTCCAGTAGAATTCTTTATTGAATGAAGGGGGAAAAATCCATCTCTGTGCCAGGGACGTCGGAATCCTAATGCAAAGCTTTATCTACAGGCCCATTCATTTGATTGACACAAAACCTAGCCTTGGCTTAGTTATTTGTTTCTAATTTTGTAGAGAAAGATATTCAATAGCAAATAAGGCTTCTCTGAATGTTCCATTTTCACATGAAGGGCAGAACCAAGACTAAAGGAGTCATTCCCAAGTGGAATGCCTTCTATTTAACAATGCATTGATCTCTGACATTTACGCAACCCAAAACACAGTTTAGTTTTGTTTCCTCATCCCAAACACTACATGATGCCTCACTCAATGAGAAAATATCTAAAATTATCTCATTTGAAAACGCTTAAGAAAATAAGCATTATTGATAAACATTTGCTAATTAACTTTGAAAGATGTCAAGTTTCTTTGCCTGTTGATGGTCTTGGAAATTTCATTATTAAATATTTTCATTATGTAATGGTCACATTAGTTGACAATTTAGTTGCGTAATTTTAGTGGATTGTCATCAACTTCCTATGTAAAGAAGATCACCCACTGACTATTGACTGATTTTTCTAAGTTGAGTTGAGAATAAAAGAAGGAAACTACCATATCCTCACAGGAGTGAGGAAGCTCACTCAGTGCTAGTCAAATAAAATGTTACTGCTGAAGTGCAGCCTGTTAGCTCTGGACTCATTACTCTGAATGATCTCTGAATCCCATTCAGGGTCATTCTTCCCTTGTCTTGAAGAATAGTGTGTATTTTCAGCCAAATATCTCTATGGTCCAGTCCTGTAGTTATCTAAGAAGTCTGATGGCCTTTCTTTATTTCATTCTAGCTCTGTCTCCTTCAGTTCAAATTGTCGATGTTTCTGCTGGGGTGTCTAGGTGCCTGCATCACACCGATACTAATCTCCTTCCCAAATTGTTGTTCAGGCTTCAGAACAAGCTTTCTCTTCAGAACAAGCTTTTTATATTTTGCATTATGGATAGGCTAAAAATTTTCCAAACTTTTAAGTTCTGCTTCCTTTTGCTTAACATTTCCTTCTTAAATTCACTTCTCTCTTATTGCATTTTACCGTAAGCAGTCAGGAGGAACCAAGCCATTTCTTCAAACACTTTGCTTGGAAATCTCCTCAGCTAAAACTCCAATTTCATCACTCACAAGTTCTACCCCCCTTCACAAAACACTAGAAGACAGTTCAGTCCGTTCTTTGCCACATTATGACAGAGATCATCTTTCCTGCAGCTTCCAACAACATGTTCCTCATCTCCTTGTGAGACCTCACCGGAATGGACTTTAGGTTCATATTTCCACCAACATTCAGTTAATGATTTATGCGTACCCTAAGAAGTTTACTATCTCTTTATCTTCGTAGATTTTTCATACGCACTTCAAAAAGTTTGTTGTTAGATAAAGTGTCTTATAAAAGGCAATTAGCTCGAATCAGTTGATAGTGTTAATCAAGTCTTCCCAGTCTTTGCTGATTTCCTAATTTTTCTATCCATTATTGAGATTGATATATCTGACTGTAACTATAGATTTATCTATTTTTCCTTTCAGTTCTATCACGTATTTTGAAATTTTATTTTGGGGTACATAAATGTTCAGGGTTGTCATGTCCTCTTGAGTAATTGACCCCTTTTTATGAAATATCCCTCTTTATCGCTAATATTATTTTGTTCTGAAATCCACTTTGTCTGACATTCATATTGCCAATACAGTTTCTTTTTATTAACATAATGTATCTCTTTCTGTCCTTTTGCTTTTAACCTATTTGTGTTTTTACATTTAAAATGTGTTTATTGAAGGAAGCATATAGTTAGTTCTTGTGTTTTTATTCATCTGACCATCTCTGCCTTCTAATTGCAGTGTTTAGATCAGTTATATTTAATGTGATTACTGGTAGGGTTAAATTTAAGTCTGTCATCTTGCTATTTCTTTTCTATTTGTCACATCTGTACTTTTATTCCTTTTTCCTTTTCATTTTTTAGAATTCCATTTTATTTCCTTTGTTGCCTTATGAGCTATAACTGTTATTTTAGGTATAATGTGTATTTGTACATTTTTAACTTGATATGTACCATAATTACACAGCATACGTAATTAAATAAAATAATATACTATATATAATTATATATTTTAGATACTATAAAACATAAAATTATATTCTCTATATAATTATGCATTAGATAGTATAAAATACATAATTACATGGTATGTAGTATATAATAAGTAATATTATATTGCCAAGAACCATGAGGATCTGATATTTTACCATTCTTGTGAGCTAATGAGTTAGCGTGCTACAGTTTTAGAGATGCTCATAAAAGATATGACTTCTGGATCAGAAATGAAAAACAGTTTATTAATCATAGCAATAGCAGTAGCCAAAATATGAGCATTTTTTGTCAGTTCTCTGAGATCTAATTCACACATGTACATCCATCCCATCCAAAGAGCACCAGATGCCACCTGCACATGCAGAGAGTTGAAGCTGCAAAACATGAGTGCTTTATTATGAGCAGTGTGTAGGCTCTTTATTCCAGGCAAATACAGTATTCCTATCTTCCAAGGATGTTTGCTATATAAACAAACATAGGTAGAGATAATGTTTGCTATACAATCATCCATGAAAAGATAATTTAGAACAAAGGGACTTGCTTGCAACTGCCTTGGCTGTCAGGCATGCAGAAACACAAGAGAACCATAAAAAAATGTTTACCAGTGATACCCACCCTAATTTTTACACTGTCGTGGCTTCCGGTGAATTACCCTATAATACTCCACTTTGTCAATAATTATGATTAATCTGACCCCCAACGAGGACTCAAATCCTTTCCACTTGTTTCATACAACATTTAATTGAGACTACTATTAATAAGACCCCAAGCAGCAAGAGGAGGCAAACCTACAGTATTGATCTCAGTCATGCTCCCAGTGTCCCAGATCCAACCAGCTGAACAACTCCCATAAACCATAAGGGTCTAATGAAACCAGGCGACTTTATTATTATGTTTCTGTATTAACCTTCCGCCTTCATCCAAGGCATTAATCCAGGCACAACCGCATGCATTAGTGATTGCACAGACCGCCTTGGCTTGCAAAGAAGCAGCCTGAATTCTGTTATCCCTAAAAACCCTGGCCAGTGAGTTGAGATTGGCCTGAATGTCTTCCAGATTCTAGGTGATGCTACTGATCACTTCAGCTAAGATCAGCAACAAATTTTATACCACCTTTTCTAATTAGATGGGTTCCATCTTAGGGATGATTGTCTGCATAATGCACATAAATAATAAGTAAGTTATCCCTCTGGGAAGCTCCTCCCAAGTACACCAGGATATGCCCATTAGGTGATATCTCTACAGTCATTTGAGGCTAAATTACCTATTAGTAGAAACCTCTTAAGCCCTTGAAGTTCTCTTTAATGATCATCTTTAAAGTGAAGGTCACTGTGTTCTCAGGAGGAAGGCAAATTAATGCCTGGCTTCCACATGAGTACAGTCCCAGGAAGTACATGTGCTACTAGAAAGAATATATTGCTTACAATCATTGAGATTCCAAAGTGCGATTCATATCTGTCAAGGACACAAGTTAATGGTGTCTCTAATATAGCCTTGTGGCTAGCTGTTTGACCTTAGGATTCCTGCTCAGTTCAAATAATTGAGTCTAGTCCTTGTTTTTGGAGGAACTGCCTGAGGGGACATAGTATAACCTGGCCCACTTGTTCATGCCACCAACTGGGTGACATTCATTTACTCCATGGAATGGCTGAGTCTCATAAACAGGGGTTTATAGGTAGTGTGTGTGAAAAGCTCAGGAACGGGGCCAGCCCCTGCTGTTTCCAGGGGAAACATGGTGAGGTTAAGGGGAATGGCAATCCCATAGAGGCAAGAGCTCTCCAGTGGAGAATGGCAGACCCAGGGAGCAGTTAAATTTAAGAAGCTTGACCAGCTAGAGGAGCCACACCAGTGGGAGAGGATCTAGGGGTGATACGGAAAGGCAAAGATCAATAATGTTTTTCCTTCTTTGTACATCCTGAAATCTAAAGTGTTCCCACCTCATGTGTCAAAGTTGTTCTCCCTTCACCGTTACAAACTTGAAGTTTCCTGTTCCAGTAGGTGTGACTTCGCCTTTTGTACAATCATTTCCTACTTGCACCCAGATGTTTTATCCACAAGAGTCAGTTGAAAGACAAAGAAGGGTCTTTTCATAAAGCTTACAGAGACCCATTATAGCCCATATTTGGCCACTGTAGAGGGACCACTAAGAATGTACTCAGCCAATTATCCTCATGATCCAGGATCATGGCAATCCCACAGGAGAATCCAGGTGACTGAATCAGTAATAAATTTGAATCTCCTGGTCCCTTTTGGCTGGGCTGCCATCCTGAGGGTGCACCAAGGAGTTCAGCTTAGAGCTGCTATTAGGGAAAAGAAAGAGCATAATGCCCTGGAGTGGTGGGAGTGAACTCCAAATATTCACATGAGCCTAAATAACCCTCATCCCTTTCATCCTGACCATTACCCACAAAGCAGCTGGGAGATAATCCCTTTCCGGGGACAGCTGCTTTACTAAGTTGTGTTGATCAAGAGGACATCCATGTTAGTGACTTAGACAACTTGACCAGCAGCTGTGATTGGTTTCCATAGCTCATGGCCTCAAAAGGGGGTATCTTTAATCAGCTGGTCTACCATTCCCCAAGCAGCTGACCAGATGCCTACACCACTGACAACAGCCCAAGAGTCAGTAAAATATAACAAAGTTCGTCAAGGAGCTCATTGGCCAGAGCTGTGGGAATGATGTGTGCAATCCAGAAGGGCAAGATAATTTGCCTCTAAGGGGCTCCCCTTGGGCAAGGACATAAGAACATGTAGGTAATTCTTCACCTTTCTTCTCCTGGATGGCTATCCTGCAACACAGTTATATATTGTCTTCTCAGAGGACAATCACATGACATGGAGCAACCAGCCACACACACGCAGCTATGGCCAGCTTATTAATGCAACTTCTACTGGCCCTCCCTTCTCTCCTGCCCATACCCTTTGTTCCTTACTCATACTCCCTGGGAGTTTACTCCTCAATAAGATAGTAGCACAAAGGGAAAACCCAGGCTAAGACAACAAGACAATTTCAACTGGGAGCTGCATTACTCTAGAAAAATCACTACTTTATAGCATGATGACTAATATTATTAGAGAAGGTTATTATGTTGGCAATTTTTGTGATAAACTACTTTAGGAGGAAATGGTAAGTCAAAAGCAAAATCTAATTGAAAACACTCCAGTTTTCTCTTTGTTAACATTTATATTGCTGAGCTATAAGGCACTATCATCCACTTGTTGCCCACACATCCTAATTGCAGGCAAGGTAAGCAGAAGGAAATAAACAACCTCCTGAGCACAGGCCTTGCAAAACCAAACCTATAAAGCAATGACAAATGTCACTGAGCAGGACAATAATTGAATTTAAAACAAACAAAACAAAAGAGAACTGACTGAAAAGCATTTTGGTTTCATTTTTTTTTTAACTTTGGTTCAAATCTATAATTCATTAACATATCATTTCCCACTTCTCATCTGGAAATCAGAAATATTGGTGATATACATCATGTAGCAGAATCCAACAAAATAATTTAAGAACCATAAATTTGAATGCATGCAGAAAATGTGTGTTTTATTTGTGTTTTTAAATGGGAGGGGTGTTTTTACCTTTTGGAGGAGTTATGATTTAGATTCATTTTTCCAGCACTGGCTCTGAGCTCAGCACTTTCTAGGGTATTTCGGAATTTATGTTCCACTTCACATTTTTCAGCCCCACTATTTCTTTGTAAGGTATCCCAGTGGGAAGTAACCAAAAAAACCATTTCTTTTTTTTCTTCCCCAAGAATCTTAAAAGTCGCCTAAGAAAGATGAAATGACCAACGATGGCTCTCAAGGGGAACCTGAGAAACAGAGAAGATTCATGAGGGCTTCTTAATGTACAAGTTTCTCTCTCTGCATTCACAACCCACATGAATGTGAGAACACACAGATTGGAGGATGCAGGAGTGTGAGCTCTGCTTACACTTTCATGGAGTCAGCTAGTAGGGACAGATGCCCTCCTTTCTCCCAGAGACACTGCCCACAACTCAATGAAACACACCGCCCAATTCCTCCTAGATCAACCCCTTCCACTTCTCACTGGAAGGACTTGAGCTAAATGAAGGTGGTCAAGTTGTATAAAAGGTTTTCCTCATGCCAAATCCACACTGGGTCCATGCCAAGGATACGCGGAAAATATTCCACATTGCTTCCATAAGCGACTTTCTAAACAAGAATTGCACCCTTGCAAGAAATGTGATCATCTTAGCCATGTCATGCAGTTGAATGCACACTTTGGACATCATATTCAAGAAATGTTTACTCTCCCTTCATACAGTGTACAGTGTATAAGAAGGAAGAGAAACACTTGGATCTTCGAGCATTGATTATTTAGAGCAGCAAAATGTAGAGAAAATCATACTTATTACACTCTAGTAACACTATAAACTCCTTACTGAAGACCATGAAATCAGAGAAGAGGAAGAATGGCCAAGAAGGAATGCTGTAGCCCAGAAGAGAATTACACAAGCAAGTAAGATGGCAAAAATTCATCACAAGAGTCCATGGCCCAATGGTTGAGAAACACAGGACTAAAAAATTGATGTTTAAGAAAAAAAAAAAAGTTTCCATAGTTTAACCTTGTATTTAAGCACAACATATAAATGTGAAAAGCCCACCTGAGATGTTACTGATTACACAGATTGAAGAAGTGAGAACAATGTTCATCAGTCCCAGTGTTTTGGGCTTGGAGTGAGATGTCATGGACACTGGCATAAGCCTTTTGCATTTAGCAAGAATTACCTGTTCTGCTGGGTATGGTGTTTCATGCCTGTAATCCCAGCACTTTGGGAGGTCAAGGCCGAAGGATAACTTGAGGTCAGGAGTTTGAGACCAGCCTAGCCAACATGGTGAAACCCTGTCTCTACTAAAATAACAAAAATTAGCTGGAGGTGGTGGTGGACACCTGTAATCCCAGCTACTCAGGAGGCTGAGGTGGGAGAATTGCTTGAACCCAGGAGGCGGACGTTGCAGTGAGCTGATATAGCACCACTGCACTCCAGCCTGGGCAAAAGAGTGAGACTCCATCTTAAAAAAAAAATAGAAAAGAATTACCTGTTCTTTTTCTCTCATTAGGTCTTGATCTCAAACTTCTATGGGTCTTTCTGGAGGGGGAACAATCAGCCACAAAAGCCACTGGATAGAAGGTTGGCTATTTTCAGTGCTTTTGTTATAAAGACTCTGGCTTTCAAAAGGATTATTAAGAAAAATGCCTACTTCTTTGAAATCTACATCAAGTTGTTAAGGCAACAAGATCAAGACTAAATCTAGAAATGTTTGCTCCACCGCCCCCTCCGTCCACCCTGTTATCTACCTCGCAGGTTTTCGTGGGTTGTGCCAACTAATTGCAATCATTGCTGCATCTCTGCCATCTCATCCTGAGGTTTTTGAACAGCAAGAAAAGGAAAGCATTGATTTGAACGATGGCGTGGTAGTACGTATGTATGTGGTTACATTTGTACGTCTGTGGGTTTGTGAACAATTCTGGAAACAGCTCATCAAATTTTCCCCTAAATGCTGTCAGATTTAGCCAAAGAGGTAGGAGAATTGACAGTGGTCTCAGTAGCCAATGATTCAATGTGGGGGTGGTGAAGCGGGAGCTGGAGTGCAAAGGAGCCAAGGAAAGACGCATGGTGGAAATAGGAAATTCAGGGGGAAGAGCTGCTTGAGCTGTTTGCAACTTCTTTCCCCCAGAACCATTAAAAAAATCTCGTGAGCTCAGATCATCAATAAGAGATGATCGATTCCCCCCGAGTCTGAGCTGCACTGAAAACTCCCCCCGAGTCTAGGTTTTTGCTCTTTAGATGTGGGTTTGTGACTGCAGCTTCAAACCTCTCAGCTGCAGGCTAGCTCTCCTGTTTTGGGAATCCAGCACAGTGTCAGCCTTTGAGTGCCAGGGGCAAGAGCACTGGGATTCTAGGCAGGGCACCTTTCCAGAGGGCCCCTGTTGATCCCTGTCCAGGCCTGCCCTGTGCATTTCCTGGGTCCCAGCGTCAATGACCCTGCCTGCTGACCTGGTAGACAACACATCCAAATTTGAGAAGTACTCAGCAGGCAAGAAGAAATTCAGACACAGGGCTGTTGAAAGAGGTTAGGACTAGAGGTTCCATCTATATCCTATTCAAGTGAGATGATGAGGTGAGATGATGAGCCTCCCAGCCACAAGCTGGCAAGAGGAGAGAAAAGGACTGAGGAGGAGACTTTGGCCATAAGAGCCCATTTCTAACCAGTGTTGGCCTGGCAATTGCAGGACCTAACCCCAGTGAGCAGGTGAGAGGGCAGACAGCTTGCCCAAGACAGTGTGTGGTCTCCCGAAAAATTAACGAGCTCTGCTGAATCCCAACAGTCAATGGGTGGATTTTAGATATGTCTCACTCCCTGGACGTCTGAGCTCAGAGACGCCCTGGGGAAAAGCCTCGTGTTTCACACACTTCGTGACCCAGTTTCCATCTGGCTGACAGAAGCTCTTCCTGCCTCAGATGACAGGTCTGAAGGCAGCTTAGTAGGATGGGTGATGAGTTATATGAACACATTTCCACATTAATTGAATTCCCCTCAGTTGGACTTCTGCAAAATGAACTTTTTTTTTTAAGAGCTACATTTTATTTTACTAATAGGGATTTAACTGGGTGAAGGAAGACTGCTGACTCCAGAGGACGTTTTCTGTAGCCTTTCCCTAGAGAGGCAGGCTTGGTTGCAGGAGGCGGTGGGAAGAAGGCATCCCAGAGACCCTGTGTATGAAGAAAATGCCTCTGCCAAATCCTCTGCCTGCCCTAGGTCACTGGTTCCCAAATGTGGGTGAATCATCTTGGAGAACTCTGATTACACAGTTTCCTTAGTCCAGCCCGACCAACTCAATCAGACCTCACGAAGCAGAGCCCAGGAATGTCATTTTTAACAATCTCACCAAATATTTCTGGCACAGCCTTTTTCAAGACCCGTTTTCCAAAAATCACTACCATAAGGCATTCCATCCATCCTCTGTAAGAAATATCCAGTGATTTTCAACAGTTGTACGAGAATGGCATTTTCTCGACAAAGCCTATGAGAATGGAGGGTGAGGCTTGCTGATTGGAAAAAAAGCATTTTCTAAAATTGCTATTTGTTTTCACCACAATAACCATTTCTCATATCAAATCACATAAAAGCTTCTCATAAGATTGGTATCTTTAGCAGAAGAATTTTGGATCAAATATGGTTGAGAAAGGCCGGGCGCTGTGGCTCATGCTTATAATCCCAGCACTTCGAGAGGTTGAGGCAAGTGGATCACAAGGTCAAGAGATCAGGATCATCCTGGCCAATATGGTGAAACCTCATCTCTACTACAAATACAAAAATTAGCTGGGCATGGTGGTGCACACCTGTAGTCCCAGCTACTCAGGAGGCTGAGGCAGGAGAATCACTTGAACCCAGGAGGTTGTAGTGAGCTGAAATCGCACCACTGCACTCCAGCCTGGCGACAGAGTGAGACTCCGTCAAAAAAAAATAAGCCGAGAAATTTTACAAATTGTGAAATGCACACTTTCGTTATGCAAGATTGATCTTATCAGTTTTTCCAGAGTGTCCACCTCTGTTAACCTAAGTCTTTTCCTGTTTGAGTTCTGGATGGTGCAATCTCTGATGCCATGAGCTCTCTCTGGAGGGACACTGGGTTCCCTGCAATCATTAAGGAGAACACACAGCATCCAGGACGAAAGCTCAGATTCCCCCAGCGATGCCTGTCAGAGGGGTATCTTGCTCTCCTTCACACTCTCTCCAAACCCCAGAAGGCCAGGGTGCACGGTTCCCAGGGCATAGAAAATTGCATCCCAGGAAGACCTGCTCAGGAAGCTATTCTCTTCTCTTACCTTACACAGTGAAACCAAGCACCAAAACCCACAAATCTGAGAGCCAGTGTTCAGGCCACACCCACATAGACGGCTCAGCTATTCTAACTCACATCACTCTCCTCTTTAAAATCCACAAGAGACACAGCATGAGTCTCCAGCAAGTGGGAAGATCTGATCTTCGTTCTTCATCTCCTCTGAGTCTGTTTCCTCCTCTTAAAATTGGAACTAACAGTGGTGCCTCACGGAGAGGGTCTGGAAGGTCAGAAGGGCTCACCACATCATGGTGAGGGCCAAAACAAGCACAGGTCAAGGGCAGTGGGAAGCCGTGAGGAGCCATGCAGTGGAACAGGTCTCAAGAGTGTAAGCCCCAGTCCCACCTCCCTTGCTCTGATTGTGCTTTTTCTTAATAACTTGCTGGATGCAGAGAAGATGCTGTTTGCAACTTCTTTCTCCCAGAACCATGAAAAATCTCATGAGCTCAGATCATCAACAAGAGATGGTGGTGCTCAAACTCCCCCTGAGTGTAGCTTTTTGCTTTTTAGATGTGGGTTTGTGACTGCAGCTTCAAACATCTCAGCTGCATGCTAGCTCTCCTGCCTGGGGAATCCAGCACAGTGTCGGCCTTTGATTGTCAGGGGCAAGAGCACTGGGATTCCAGGCAGGGTACCTTTCCAGAGAGCCCGCTGCTGGGTGATCTCTGTCCAGGCCTGCACTATGCATTTCCTGGGTCCCAGTGTCCCTGACCCTGCTTGCTGACCTGGTCTCTGACAACCCTGGGCTCCAACCACTGGGTCCCTCACACTGCAAGCAACTCTGCCTATGCCCAAGGAAAAGCACTTCTTTCAAAGTTCTAGGCCTTTCACTTGACCTTTCACGACTTATTTTCCAAGAAGCTCCAACTCTTGGCTTCCAAAAGTGGCCTCTGTGGCGGGTGGTGTACAGTGTTTGGCCTCGTGCCAAGTTTCCAGAGTCTGCTCACATTATCCTGTACCTACCCAATGCCTGGTCCCCCAATGGCTCCTTACTCCTTCGGCTCTTCCCTCAGTTCAGCACGAATTGCCCACTTCTCTGTGGAATTCTCACCACAAGTAGATCCTCCTCTTTCCTTCATTCACTGCTTCTTCCTCTGCATTGCCCTCAAATTTCCTTTTTTAAATTTAACAAATACGTATGGAATAGGATCTATGCCAGAGATTGGGGATTATTTTTCCACTATGTCATATCCTTGAAAGCCTGGTATTGGGTGCATTCATCCAGCAAGCCTGTATTGAGGATGGATGTGTGTTGAGCACAAAGTACCTAATGGGAACATCATGGCTGTAGCTCCCACCCTACTTCCTATCCAGGGAAGGAGGCAGCAAACATAAAAACAACACCACTCAATAAAAAGATTGCAAGTTTTAAAAGTGCTGTAAAAAAACAAACACAAGAACTGAGGTAGAAAGTTATCAGGTAGGAGGGACACCAAAACTGGACACAGTGGTCAGGGTAGGCTTCTGTGAAAAGATGACCCAGAAGCTAAGACCCAAATGCTGAGGAGGAGTCAGGCAGAGAGAGTGAGGTAAATGGCTTCCAGGCAGAGGCAACAGCACATGCCAGGGAGCGGGGGTAGGGAAGACTTTGCCACGGAAGAAACTACAAGAAGACCAATCTGGTCGGACATTAACAAGAGGAAGTAAGTGGCCGAAAAAACGTTAGAGAGATTGGGAGGAGATATATTATGCAAAATCTTGTAGATTGGGAAGAGATATGTTATTCGAAATCAGTAAAGATTTTGAGTTTATTTCACTAATGAAATTTATACTTAGTCCCAAGGGGTCCGGAAGCCTTCTTGAAAATGAGCCTTTGGAACAAGATCATGTCCTTTGTAGGGACATGGATGAAGTTGGAAGCCATTATCCCCAGCAAACTAATTCAAGAACAGAAAACCAAACACCGCATGTTCTCACTTACAAGTAGGAGCTGAATGATGAGAACACATGGACACATGGTGGGGAACAACACACACTGGGGTCTGGTGGAGGGAGAAAGTGGGGGAGGGAGAGCATCAGGAAGAATAGCTAATGGATGCTGGGCTTAATAGCTAGGTCATGGGATGCTCTGTGCAGCAAACCTCCATGGCACATTTACCTATGTAACAAACCTGCACATCCTGCACATGTACCCCTGAACTCAAAATGAAAGTTGAAGATAAAAAAAAAAAAAGAAAAAAGAAAACAGGCCTTTGGCATGCCAGAGTTCCCGATGCCATGCCTTCCTGCGTTCACCACATATTTTAGAGAGCAACTCTGTGCTGGACACACAGTCATCTCATTAGTTTCCTGTAACAACCCCTTCCTACACCCACAAATCCACATCCACATATATCAACACTTGGATGTGATTTTTGTCTCTCTGCAATTCTGAAATAGTATCAGACCACCCAACGGTTCACAACTAGACTTTTGTTGTTGTTGTTGTTTGTTTTTGTTTTTGTTTTGAGACGGAGTTTTGCTTTTGTCGCCCAGGCTGGAGCGCAGTGGCACAATCTTGGCTCACTGCAACCTCCGCCTCCCAGGTTCAAGCGATTCTCCTGCCTTAGCCTCCTGAGTAGCTGGGATTACAGGCACCCCCCACCACACCCAGCTAATTTTTTGTATTTTTAGTAGAGATGGGGTTTCACTATGTTGGCCAGGCTGGTCTTGAACTCCAACCTCAGGTGATCCACCTGCCTCGTCCTCCTAAAGTGCTGGGATTACAGGCGTGAGCCACCGCACCTGGCCAACTAGATTTTTTCAGTTAGCAATATATGATGGACATCCCTACATGTTGGCAGACACATTCTCAGGGTAACTTTCTTCCTCCTCCTTGCTCAGCCTCGCCTATATGCACAGCTCACCCAAACATGGCCTCCCTCCTCAGCCTCTCCCTCCCCCAAATATACACTGCAGAAAACCTTGACACGAGATGGCAAGTGTACCTTGGAAAAGGCATACTGGAGACTTGTTCTCTAAACTTCCTTTTCTCAAATGGTACAAGCTCACAGCCCAGGAGACCAGTAGTCTCTGGTGAGGTCATGTTGGGCTTACATTTCATACTTTCAACAAAGTAATTTCCTTCATGCTATAAAATATTATGGAGTGGTGGGAGCAGGGGGAGATTCTGGAAGCATGAGGATTTGCATCTGCATACTCAGTGAATCCTCTGTGGAGGCAGTTGAATGTGGCATGAGGAGCTCAGGTTTCGGAGCAAGCCACAGCTGGGTTAAAATTCTGGTTTCCCTGCTAATTAGTCTGAGGGAGGTAACTGGATCTCACCATGCTTCCTCATCTACAAAAAGGAAATATTAACACACAATGGAATATTATTCAGCCTTAAAAATGAAGGAAATTCTAACACATACTACAACATGGTTAAACCTTGAGGACATTAAGCTAAGTGTAATAAGCCAGCCACAAAAATACAAATACTCTATGAATCCTACAGCAGCCAAATTCATACACAGTAGGATGATGATTGCAGGGGCTGGCAGAGGGGGAAATGAAAAATTGCTGTTCAATGCATATAGATTTCTGTTTTGCAAGATGAAAAAGGTCAGGAGATCCACTGCAAAACAAAGATTGGTAAATTTTATGTTGCATGTTTTTATCGCAATTCTTTAATGCAAAAAAGGTGAGAAATAGTAATACCTGTCTCATAGGGTTGGTAGAGTGTGTGTTAAAAGAACTGTGTGGGTAAAGAACTCCAACCTAGTGAACCCAAGTCAGCATGGCATGGAGTGGTGAGAGGGAGACAGAGAGAGAGAGATGAACAGAGAGTCCACTTTCCTCCATGCCGCAACACTGGGAAATGGTGGTGCTGGCAGCATTTCTCAATGGCCACCGTGCAGTTCCTCCTTCTCCCCACTGCACTCACACAGACTCACACACACACTCACACAAGCACATATGCACTGCAAACTCACACATGCAAATACGCATACACTCTCTCACACACACGAACATATGCACCACAAACTCACACACGCAAACGCACATGCTCTCTCACACACACTCAAACATGCGCAGTCACAGACACACACACACTTATTTCTCTCAGCTGTCTCCTCAGCCTCTCTGCCCGAGTCTCCTTTTAGCACAGGCAACAACAGGAAGAACAAGTTGTGTTCAAGGACTTCTGTCTTCAGGAGTCTCCTCAGTCTGCATTCTGGAAGATTCTTCCATATCCTATATTTCCTTACATGAATTCTTATTCCAAAGCATTTCAAGACACTCTTAAAATAATGGCTTTTAACTTTCAGAATCCTAAAATCTAGATACAGTGAAGCAGTTGAATCTGAGCTGTGTACAACATAATAATGTTTTATAATCATGCCTTATTTGACTATAATAAGTCTTTTACACTTTATAAGTTGTTTTCAATACATTAACACATTTAATTCTTAAAATAAAAGAAGGAGGTATTATTATCCCCCTTTTGTAAAGAGGAAAAGCAGTTTCAAAGAGTTTAAGTGAGGTGTGTTCAAAGTCACCAAACTAGCAGGGATCAGAGGTGAGTCTCTGAAACAGCCATCTGTTGGCTTCAAGATTTTTCTGCTCTTTTTACCTCATCACTGGGTAAGAGAGGGTAGGTCAGATAAGAGCTATCTAAGGACTCAGGAAACCGTGGGCACGCTGCCTGGATCGGGCACAGAATCAGAGCTGATCTAGAAAAGAGAACACGCATTTCCCTGAAGGCATGGAGAACAGGAGGAATTCAGAAAATAGGACACGAACTTTTTCAGAGCCTCACACTGAAAGCAGACTTCTTCTTGCAGCCAATAAACAGAAAATGTGTCACTACTAAGTGCTTGCTTCTGAGGGAAGGCTAGAAGAGCTAACAGAAGGGCCCTGTCTCCAAGTTCAGAAACAAAGGAAGCGTCCCAAAGTCCGCAGCACAAATACCGAAGGCAGGAGACGCCTCGTTTCAAGAGATTAGGGTTTTACAGTCTTAGGCAGGTTGTAAGTAAAAACATGAAAAAACAGACCCTGGTGCGTGATGTTCCTCACCCTGTGTCCAAGCGTTCTCATTGTTCAATTCCCACCTATGAGTGAGAACATGCAGTGTTTGGTTTTCTGTCCTTGCGATAGTTTGCTCAGAATGATGGTTTCTAGCTTCATCCATGTCCCTACAAAGGACATGAACTCATCCTTTTTATGGCTGCATAGTATTCCATGGTGTATATGTGTCACCTTAGGAGATATACCTAATGTAAACAACGAGCTAATGGGTGCAGCACACCAACATGGCACATGTATACATATGTAACAAACCTGCACATTGTGCCCATGTACCCTAGAACTTAAAGTATGATTTAAAAAAAAAAAAAGAAAGAAAAAACAGAGCCCCTACACCACAATAGCAAATTGTAGAAAGGTTACAGAGAGAATGAGAAACATTACCCTGTTCTAACTCCAAAAACAATAAAATTTAACGCTGATCCCTCAACATCCAGAGAAGAGTCCCTAGGAGAACCCTGCTATTTGGGGCAGTTGTCACTGTGGCTGCCACATGGTGTCACTTGTGAAACATAGTATTTGGTCTCGTGCCATCTTACCTCACTACTGGGATCTCTGGTAAACTGAGTACAGGGTAGACGCCTCCACTGAAACCTGCGCATACCCTCACTGTAGCCATTGAGAAATGCTGCCAGTACCACCATTTCCCAGTGTTGCGGCGTGGAGGAAAGTGGACTCTCTGTTCATCTCTCTCTCTGTCTCCCTCTCACCACTCCATGCCATGCTGACTTGGGTTCACTGGGTTGGAGTTCTTTACCCACACAGTTCTTTTAACACACACAGACACAAACATACACACTTTTCTCCCAAAACCTGTCAGCCTGTCCCCCAACCTCCATGTCCCAGATTTCTGAGAGCTGAGCTTGCTTCTCTTGATATCTAGTCCTAACCACTTCTTGCCCCAGGATAAATCACATTTCTCATAGGAATAAATTTTATGCTGTGATAGGTTTCATTCCACTTTAAAAGGCAGGGCGGGGCATGGTGGTTCATACTTGTGATCCCAGAGCTTCAGGAGGCTGAGGCGGGCAGATTGCTTGAGCCCAGGAGTTGGAAAGCAGCCTGGGCAACATGGTGAAACCGTATCTCTATAAAAAATATAAAAATGACCCGGGTGTGGTAGTACACATCTATAGTCCCAACTAACTCAGGAGGCTGAGGTGGGAGGATCATTTCAACCTAGGAGGTCAAGGCTGCAGTGAGCCATGATCATACCGCTGCATTGCAGCCTGGGCAACAGGGTGAGACCCTGCCTGTCTCTAAATAAATAAATAAATAAATAAATAACAGGCAGATGGACTCCTTACTTCAGAAAGAACTATCAGATAAACTGGAAGGATAGAGAATGGTTTGGGGGTAGAGTCAGTAGTGAGAACAAGTTGACGGAATCGAAGAAAGAGGATGCCTTAAAAATAAAAATATCCAGCTTTTCTTCCTTCAACAATGCAATTGAAAACCATGTAGTACATGACTATCTCCTGGAATGAGTAAATGGAAAGTTAAACAAAATCTTCAAGTATCCCCAGGTGAGATGCACGATGGGGGGAAAAAAGGCATGTAAAGGTTTAGATTTAGTTTTCTTTCTTTTTTAAAATTTCCAAGACTCACACCTTCTGCAAGTTTGAATGTATTAACCTAAATCTCACAAGAACACGCTCCAAGAACATCCTGTCCCATAAAACCATAGGAAAGAGGAGCATCTTAGGTTGGGCTCTCCAGAAGCAGATCCTGTGAGGAGGATTCCTGTGCAAATGACTTTTTGAACATGCTCTTAGAGGAAGCCAGTAAGAGCGGGGAGCAGGGCTGGGAAGGGAAGAGGCCAAGCAAGAAGGTGAACTCACTCAGGCAAAGTCTTGCAGAGAGTTAGGCTGCAGGGAGCTCAGGAGTGTAAGGCCTGTTCTGCCATGCAAGGGAGCTGAGGCTTTCAGACCCCTGTAGCCAACAGCCATTGGATAAGCTCACCCCAAGCAGATGTAAATTCCCCTGGCACTTCCAGCTCTCAGGTTGTGCATGCCAGGGAGGCTCGAGCACCCTGAGATTGTGGAAGAAGAAAGCCCCCTCAAGCCAACAGGCACACAAGAATGGCACAAAGGAAAGTAGCAATGATTGGGCAATGCACAGACATTATCTGCTATAAGGAGCAAAGAATGAAATCTGAGAGATTCAGTTTTCCCATATACAAAATAAGGTTAACGGTCCAGCACCCATCATCTGTAAAACAGGGAAGGTACTAACGCCTGCTTCATTGGGTGGTTGTGAGGATCGCATTAGACAATTGAGGAAGACATGTCTTCAGCTCTCAGAAATACCAGCGTCTGTAAATACCTACAAGCAAGTAGAACAGCAATTTCAGCTGGGCCTATGGCTCCAGTTATTTTGCCAAAAGAAATGTAGTGACCACACACGTATCCAAAAATCTCTGAGGTCTCTACCGTCTCTCAGCAATTTGGAGAATGCAGGAGGAACTTGGACAACTTCTAGGGGGAATTTAAAAAGCACTTTAAAAAGCATGAACCCACCAGTTTGAACTGTACACAAAGCATTTCTTTCTAAAAATGTCCACCTCGGGTCTGTACAGTGGTTTTTGCCCTGTTCGTCTCTCAGGCACACTTACGAGGAGAGCTTTCAATGCATCCAAACAATTGCTTACAAGCACCAACCTACCGTGAGGTTAGCCCCACACTGAGCTGAGGAGCCATGAGGGAGCTGTTTCTATGGCATTTGAGTAGCACAAAATGTGATTTTTCTCTGGAGAAGACTTTTGAGAATTAGAGGGAATTAGTCATATTTTCCAATGTGGGAATTTTAACAGTTGTGAAATTATGAAGAAGACCTGACTCAACAATTTCAATATTGCAATATGTCACCTAGCTGTCTTGTTACTCAAAATTACATGATTTAAAAGACAGTGACTTTAAAAAGAACCCAACCAAGGTTTGAAAGAAAAAGGAGATATGCAGACAAAGCAAAGGAAAAATATAAAATTGCTGAACATTTACAGAGCTAAGTTTAACAATTCTGGGCTCATTTAATACAGTTTTTATCTTAAATAGAACATTGAAAGGCATGTTTATCCTCTCAGTGAATTATATGTTAGAAATGCACTCTTTAAACAGTGGGTTTTTTTAAACCTACAATATGGAATCTGAACTGGATTTAACATGTTGCTAAATATTCAAATGGGTCATCCCTTCATACTCCCTTTTCGTAGGTTAAAAAAAGATGAGCAGACGTTCCGGACAAAGATGAGTAAAGCCAATTCAAGACCACCTTTGTGCTATACTTTTTCCAGCCTCTTAATTAGGCTACTCCTCATTAACTACCCTAAATGAGCTACAAATAATGATCGGGTCCTGTCCTTTATATATGAAAATTAGTCTATTAGCAAGTGCATGACTAGGGTATTTTCCAGGAGTAGTGAAGGGTTTGAATTTTTTCAAGTACACTCTCTCTGGGCTTTCCTTGTCCTCAAAAGCATACCTTTGCAGGACAGCTAGCCAGGGTGAGAAGGAAAGTAAAAGACTCTAAAACAGACCATTCTAATGAGCTTGGTCTCATTAACATTGGGTGATAATTAGGTAACCTATCCAGAACAAATGAAACACTGGGCAAATTTGAAGAGATATAGATAGCTCCATGGAATGTTAAATACAAAGCTAGAAGTGGTATTAGCCCTTGACTAACTAAATGAATCACTGAATAGAACAAGCACTAGTGCTTATAATCAAGAACCTTAAGGAAAAAAGGGTGGGTGTTATGGTAAAAGAATGATTGCTACCTACAACTCACCAAATTCCCACATACACACATTTCCTGACATATATTTTCTCCTATTGTAATAATACCAATTGAATATGTTAAGAGACCCCAGGCTTATTGTAAACAGTTAAGAAAGAGTATCTAAATCATCCCAAAGAAGTTTATTCCAATTTGTTAACTTCAAAAACTTATCACTCTTTATGCACTTTCAACAAAATAGTTGTCCTCAAATCGATCTATAAATTAAATGCAATTCCAATCAAAATTCTGGCAGAATCTTGTATGAACTTGACAAATTCATTTAGAAAGCTATCTGGAAGAACAAAGCAAGGAAACTTGCTTATCCAGACACTAAGAAACAACAAAGATTAAGTAATTAAAAAGAAAAAAAATATGGTCTTGGCATTGCCTAAGACAGAGATCAATGGAACAGAACAGGAAGCCCAGAAACAAACCCAAGTAAATGTGTGAATTTGTTCTGTAGCAGAGATGGCATTATAAATGAGTGAGGAAAGGATGAAACTTTTTAGTAGCTGATGTTAGGAAAACTTCACAACATAAAGACAAATATCTACCTCATGGCATATAAAAATTCAATTCTAAATTGATTAAAAACCCAGATATGAAAATTGAAACTATGAAATAAGTATAAAATTTTTTTTTAATATTGTGACATTAGGATGTACGGAAAGAGTTTTCAAATAACACTCTAAAAACACAAGGTGAAAAAAAAATTGACTACAACAAAACTGAAGATTTCCGTTCAATGTAGAATATCACAAACAGGGTTAACATATAGGTGATAGAATAGGAGAAGAGAATGCAATATCTAAAATAAATTGGAGGTTAATATCAAAGTTATACAAGGAATTCCTACAAATTAACAAAAACATATAGAAAGCTCAATTTTAAAATGTCCAATGTATAATAGGTAATTCACAGAAGGAAGAACTCAAATAATTAATAAATACATGAAGAAATCCTCAACTTTATCCAACAATAATTGTTGATATGTAAATTAAAACAACTTTATGACCATTTGGTTGACAAAAATGTGAACATTGGTAAATACCAAATGTTAGTGATGATGTTGGCATACAAAAACTTCTTGCACTGCTGGTGTGAGAGAATACTGGTTATGATATATGAGATTATTGTTCAAATATATTCACTACTTCTCTGCCACTTCCATCAGAGGAGTATATCTCCTCTCGTGATTGGGCTTGGCCATGTGACTCAATGTGGTCTCATGGTAGACACCCCTGTGCACTTCTCTGCTGCTGGACTTAAAACCTGGCCATGTGACTTGTTTTGGGCAATACTATGTTAAGAGAAGTGACTTGAGCAGAGGCTCAACATGTGGTTGCTTGGTTAGGCTTTATCCCTTGTGTTTCTGCCATTGCCATGAGAAGAATATGCCCTAGCAAAGTCCACCAGTCCAAGGAGGAAGAGAGATGCAGGGAGCAAACCTGAACCAACCTAAACCTGACCCAGAGCTAAGCCTACCTAAACATCCAGCTGACCCCTGACCCAGAGCCAAGCCTGCCTAAACACCCAACTGACCCACGGATGTATCACTGATAATAAATTGCTGTGTTTTAAGTCATTTAGTTCTGTGTAAGTTTATTTCACAGCGTTCTTTTGACAACGACTGACTGATACACTAATATAGCTTTCAGTCAGTATTTAATGGCTATAAATAGTATATACATTATGTAATAGAAACTTCTAAACAGGCTTCTCTGATTTTTCCTTGTTAGTAAAGGGTGCCTCCCACTATGGAGTCCTTTAATTCCACACACTTGCTTCCACAGTCTCTTTTATAATATATATAAAATGCTAGTCAATGGGACCAAAGAAAACATCCACTAATGGACTTCTGGCAAAAGCTTTCCTCTGTAATAAAAAGAGATGCATGGGAAGCTATAACCCTCTTCTTCTACACTGGCTGTGATCATGCCTGTGTGTGATGTTCACAGCTGCTACAATCATCTTGTGGCCAGTGGGAAAAATAACACTGACTTACAGAGGACGGTAGAGCAGAAAGATGAAATTGACCCGAGTCTTTGGTTACACCACTGAGCTGCTAATGCTTCCTCTAGAACGCTTGTTGTTACATGAGACAATTTAGGTTCTTACTATTTAAGCCAATTTAAGTAGAAATGCTAAAAGCATTCATAATTATCCATGAATCTCAACTCATTTTCCCATTAATCTCAACTCCTAGATATGAACAGGCACATCCGTAAGAGGACAGATGTGATTGTGCTCATTACAATATTGTTTTCTGACAGCAAGTACCCGGAGGTTACCTAAGTGTCCGCCACTTGGAACATGGATGATTAAAATGCCAATGATGAAATGTTAGGCAATAATCAAAAGTAGTAAGCTATATCTAGATAAGAAATTTGAATAAATCTCAAAAACATGGAGTGAAGTAATAAAAGTTAAAACATAGAATAAAATATAAAACACAGTTCCATTTACTTAAAGAATGTAAACACAAGACAACATTACAAATTTTCCAACCATTCATATATATTTAAGGAAAAGTATTAAAAACATTACAGCATGTGCTTAAGTAGGATACAAGAACGTTGGCAGGATTGGGGCATGAAAAAGAAAAATAATTAATTAAAAATCTGAGTACTTATACCAGTTGTTGCTACATAATGAATTATCCTAAAAAGTAGTAGCATTTTGGCAGAATTGGGGTCTCTCTTCATTGCCTAGGCAGATCTTGAACTCCTGGCTTCAAGTGTTCCTGCCACCTTGACCTCCCAAAGTGCTAAATTACAGGCATGTGCCACCACACCTGGCCTGTAGTAGCTTTACAACAATAAATGTTTATTATCTCAAAGTTTGTATGGGTTAGGAATCCAGGCATGGCTTAGCTAGATGCTTCTGACTCATGGTCTCTCAGATGACTCCAGTCAAGGGTTGGGCTGCAGTCTCATCTGAAAGTTCAGATGACAGTCTGAGGATCCATTGTTAAGCTCACCAACATGGTTATTAGCCACAGGATTTAGTTCCTTGTGGGCTGTTGGACTAAGGGCCTGAGTTCTTCATGGCCGTTGGTTCCTTGCCATATGAGTCTCTTTATAGGGCAGCCCACAGCACAGCAGCTTGATTCCTCAGAGCAAGTGACAGAGCAGGAGATAGTATGTACAAGTTGGAAGCCACGGTCTCATGTTTGCTGTATTCAATTTATTAGAAGCAAGTCACTAGGTCCAGCCCACACTTAAGGGAAGAGTATTACATGGGGGAATGAGAACCAGGAAGTGGGGATCACTGGGGGCCACCTTAGAAGCTCCCTACCTCAGTGCCATGACCAGTGATGATCACTTATCATGAACTGAGGAGCCTAATCACTTCAACTTGGTGTTCCCATGCTCCAAAAAATGAAAGGCAAACCAGATGGCAAAAAGAACCAGTGTGGCTTTGACTTTTATATATTTGCAGATCAAGTTCTAGATAATTGACATTAAATAGTTCTTGACAGACTGAGAAGTTATTTGGGACAACATGCTGACTTTAGGTATGTAACTATTAAGAAACACAGGGGAAAAAAATCACAGTTTTTTAGGTAAGATAAAATATCAAGAAGCAGAAAGAAGAAAGTGAATATTAGTATTGTTTCTATGAAAACAGCAGCAAATCCAGATTTAATGTAAAAAATACTGTTCTATATGATAAAACTTTTTGATGTAGATTTGGATAACTCTATAATCAGAGAAAGCTTTTAAGATTCCCTTATTTAACAGGAGGAGAATCAGAGGTTCACATGGCCAGTGACTTACCTGGGGTCATTATAGGCACCTACCCTGGGTCAAGCCACTCTTTTACCAAGCAGAATTGCTTGTCAGAGTGAAAATGTGATATTTGCAGCCTCCAAGTAGAATCTAGTCTGATTCTAAATGGGCTAGACTTGGCAAAATCTTTCTTCCTTTCCCAGGAAATTTACATCAAAGAGTTAATTGCATTAAATTGCTCTGTATTTAACTTCCGTGTCTGCTAACAAGCAAAATATCAATAACAGTCTCCATTTGCTGTGTAAACCGGAGAAGGACTTCTTTTATTTTGTTTCAGTACTATTTTTCTAAAGCTCTCTTTCTTTTTATGCTCCTCATCACAGTGTAAGTCCATGAAAAATTAACGCCCCTGTTCAGCAGGGAGGCTAGCTCCTCTTAAAAGAATGTTCTGGAAAACCCAACAGCAGGACATGCATCTCCAAGCAGATATGTCATAGAAAGGTACAGTGTGTTCCAGAAGCTTCTCCCAAGAGAGTGGGGGTCCCAAGGGCTGTGGCAATTACATTAGACTCATTTTATGTTTCCTCTGCTGTCCCTTACTTATTTCATGTAATAGCACGTTTTGAATCTATGAGTTTGCAAAATCCAGGTAAGCCACCATAAAGGTGTAGAAACCACTCTACTTTCTTGAACTCCATGGGCAATTAGGGAAAGCTGATGCGTCAAATTCAGAATTCCACCAACAAAATGGCATTTGCAATTGCTGAATACAACAATTGTGTTCTACGAGTAAGATATTTTGTGTACAACAAAAAGTTTAAAACATCAGTGTATATTAGAAAAATATGCAGTGAAACATGGGAGTAAGTGTGCTTGCAACACAAAAGTTAGTCAGTGTCATGAAAATTTTAGCCAGAGAACTTGGTTGGCGTAGTATTTAATGAAAAGTAAGTCTGTGTCTTCTCCTAAAGTTAAAAGTATAATTCTTTTTAGTTCCTGCATCAGTTTATTTTTATACACAGTTATAAATCCCCATTTGGATTAAGGTTTTTTACCTGTAAAACTGATAAGGGCTTTCAAATTATGTCACATTATTAAAGAATCACTCTGAGTATAGTAGGTAAGAGTAACCCAACCACACTTCACTTAGTGAGTTTGATTCTCTGGTTGATTAAGATCACCATTCTCCATTTCTGTGCCTATTCCTCTTTTGTCCCCCATCCTAGAGATACTTTGATTTAGCTCACCTCAGATTCATACCTGTTAGGCACTATCTCATAAAATCACAAAACCACCAGGCGAATCAACAGCTTCAACCCTAGAGGTAGACACGGGTTGACCACCAATGGGGAACCCC
Source organism: Homo sapiens (assembly GCF_000001405.40). Taxonomy (NCBI): domain Eukaryota; kingdom Metazoa; phylum Chordata; class Mammalia; order Primates; family Hominidae; genus Homo; species Homo sapiens. The sequence continues at coordinate 6,532,189 of NC_000006.12, forward strand.
ATCCAGTTGAATTTACTCGCCGACGCATTTACATCATCTCACCCCTCCATACCAGACCCCACTGGATTCAGCAAGAGCTATCTGTCTCTTCCATTTGTGCTCCATTTCTGCTTCAAGGCCAGACAGCTCTTAGAATCTTAGTCCTCAGCATCAAATTAGATGCCTCATTTAGTAAAAAGCTTTCACTCTGCTCACAATTCCTACCTTCACACCAGCCCCCTCTAGGTCTAATATTCTGTATATCTCATTACCCAGCTCCAACAATAACACTCGAATTTAGCCTCATCAAAGGTCATACTAGCTTCCGTACCTTCGAATGAATGGAATAAAACATATGGAATGCATGAGTCACATATAAATGTGGTTCACACATAAATGTGCAATATTTATTGTCTCTCAAAATATTTCACAAGTCCACCACCTTCATCCTTGAGTTTTGCAGGTAAATAAAATGAATGAGCAGAGGACATTAATTACCATGGGGTGTGCGCATTTTTAAAGGCTTTAAAACAACAGTGGTATTAATATCTCCTTGATGCACCAGAAGAGCAATCAGAGGAACACTAAAAAGTCTCCCATTCTCTCTTTTCAAGGTTGTTCATTAGCTGAGCTAAATCTCTCAGAATCAGAGCCAGCCACCTTCGTTCCTCTTATATATGTCTCAATCATTTTACATAGAAAGAATCCATTCCATTAACCATCAACTTTACAGGAAGCAAAGCATAAGATGGCTGCTAACATAGCTAATATAACCCAGTGCTACTCTAATGGAAGTAGAGAATCCAGAGCCCAGATGGCACTAGTTCCACCGTCTGGTCTTAGAACAGCGTTAAATAGTTAAAGGAGAAAAAGCCGTTTAAAACACAATTTTTAAAAACAGTCCTTTAGTCCAAACTACTCTGGCCTAAATCCACCCTAAATCACTGCAAGATTCAATAGAAACTCAAAGGAAACTGCACACTAATGGATTCTCCAAAGAAAAACACATTATAATTGAACCATCCTATTCCTTGGCACACGTAACAGCTGGTCTGACCACACATGTTCGATTCTGGAGCCATATTTTAAGAGGGACAATGACAAACTAGAACACATTCAGAATAGGGCAACCTATTCTGAAAACTATTTCCTATGATGTGGTTGAGAGGACTGGTGATCTATATTCACCAGTGAGAGAAATGAGAGAGCTGCCTGCAGTAATGGGAGTGGCTAGCTCGCTGGACTAGAATTACACAAGAGTGGCTTGAACCATTAATCAAGTAAAGAGCCCTAATCAAATAAATGTAAATTAAAACAACAGTGAAATACTATTTCCACATCCCCACATTCAGCAAACTGGGACATACACACACACATATAATTATTTTTTCCAGTGGAAATGCCTACAGTTTTACTGCTAGGAAGAGTGGGAAAAGCTTTTCTGTTAGTCTGGAAATAAAACTCAAAAGTCTGAAAATTGTACATACCTTTTTACCAAATGTTTTCATAGCTAAGAATTTATCTTAAGAAAATAACTTAACAAAATGTTCATCAGAACATTATGCTTACCAAAAAATAAAATAAAATAGAAAGAAAGAAAAAAACAAAACGGGGAACACCTAAACATCCAATAAAAATCTCTGGATTTTCTCCACGAATAATTGTATAGTGCTTACAACGTGCTAGTCACTGCCAGATATGTTCCTCCTAATTCTCAGAATCCCTGCAACAGCCCTATGTGGGGGACATTATTATCCCCATTTTACAAATAGGGAAACTGAAGTGCAAATGTGTCACGTTGCTCACAGCCTCACAGACAATACACAGTGGGCCTGAAAGTCCAACACAGGCCTCCTGCCCAGACCCTGCGCTAACACCCACATTAGATTGGTTAAAAAGTAATGGCGGGCAAACGCGTGGAATACAATTTTCAAAAATTAGGCGAAAGAGAAACGCGATGAACTCACTGGTACAAGTTAGCAAACTCCACCTTCTCCCTCTTTTAAAGAAAACAGACAACATTTGCCCTTCTGTCTTCTGGCACCTCTCCTCTTCTCCAGCTTTCCAAAGACCTCGCCCCTAGCCCTTCCAGCCCCTGAGGTGGAATTCTTGCAAACCAGACTGCCCCACGTGAGCAGCTCTGAGCTGGCTTGCAGCCTCTGGCCAGTTTTTGCTCTTCTCTCCACTGCCCTTATTCCACAGATTAACAGATAGAATAGAAGTAACTAGGAAGCATATTTTTAGTTTTACATCTCTCGCAAAAAAAAAAAAAAAAAAAAAAAAAAAGCAGTGTTTTTAGGCAAAATAAAAAGTTGAATTTGTAGGGAGCCTCCGTGCGGACAGCCAGCAGGATCCGGAGAGGCCCTGGAGCGCCTGCAAACCCCGTGGGACCCAGGCGTCCAGGCACCGCGCCCAGGAGAGCCAGCTCTGAGCATCCCCGGGGGGCCACTCCTTCTGCCAGGAGCCTGAAACCCAAACGCGAGAGATCAGGACCCCCGAGTGCAGCCTCTTCCCACCACCCGAACCATCATGGCTGACTTCAACTAGGGCCCTTCCTACGGGCTCTTGGCCGAAGTCAGGATCAAGATTGCTTCCAAATAGGATTATCAAACAAAAGATCTTCACAACTGGATAGCACAGGTCAGCTGGGCTTAAAGGAGGGCATCCTCCTCTGTGAACTCATCAACAAGCTGCAGGCAGGCCCAATGAAGAAAGTCAATGAGTCCTCATTAAACTGGCCTCAGCGGAGAATATTGGCAACTTTATTAAAGCTATTCAGGCTTATGGTGTGAAGCCACGTGACATATTTGAAGTAAGTGATCTTTTTAGGATGGAAACGTGACCCAAGTTCAGGCTACTCTGGTGGCCCTAGTAGGTTGGCAAGCACAAAAGGATACAACCACGGACATCAGGGTTAAATATACAGAAAAACAAACACGACGTTAGGATGAAGGAAAATTAAAAGCTGCTGAAACTGTAATTGGATTGCGGATGGGAACCAACGAAGTGCCAGCCAGGCAGGTATGTCAGCTTACGGGACTACAGGCATCTTTATGATCCCAACATGCAAACTGACAAACGTTTTGACCAGACCACAGTTTGTCTGCAGATGGTCACTAACAAAGCAGACAGCCAGGCAGGGATGTTAGCACCAGGCACCAGAAGGGCCATCTACTATCAGAAGCTAACATTACAGCCAGTAGACCACTTGACAATTTCTCTACAGATGGGTACCAACAAAGTGGCTTCCCAGAAAAGAATGGGTGTGCACGGGCTTGGGGGGCAAGTATATGGTCGCAAATACTGTGCTGCTCTGACAGAAACTATCATTCACAACAGAAACAAATGGTTTGAAAATCAGTGATAGTGATTATCACACAGAATACCCAGATGACTAACATGGCGAGTACCAAGGTGACTGCCCTAGAGATTACCAATATGGCGACCAAGGCATTGATCACTAGATTCACAGAAAAGAACTCAGTATTTAGTCTACTGTTTTCATTCAGTGAGAACCAAGCTATCTTTAAATAATTTTTATCTTGTCTTCCTAAAACACTATTAAGCTTATTGTACCTTAAAAAAATGACTTATATACATTCCTTTCTCCTGTATCTGCCTCTTCCCTAAATAGTTGCCTTTTCTTGTTGTAATAGTTAAATCCTACAGCATAACCAATAACTAGCATTTGAAATAAAAAGGAATACTGTGAAAGGGGAGAACTCTTGCACAGCCAATTCTTTTATTAAAGATCTATGCATTTTTACAATCTTAAACTGGTATTTTCAAACAATAGGAAACTACTATTTTTGTACAGTTTAGTGTATCTGATTTCTACCTGGAAGACTAAGCTCATCCTTATTTCTAAATATGGTCTTTGCCAACTAAACCTAAGATGCAACATTTTAGAAATTTACATAATGAATGTTGCCACCATACTGTTTAATTTTTAAAGTCATGATTAGTGTGTGTTTATGATTATATATGTACTCGTTCTCTTCCTTAGCTGACAAGATCTTTTCAGAAAGAGTGATGTTTTCAAAGGAGTATGTATGAAATGGTCTGCAGACATTTAGATCCAGGTGGTGCATTTGCTCTTCCTGATTTCGCCAATGTATCAGTGTGGAGCTGCTCTGTATCCTTCAACTGTATTGACTGCTGAATGTCTCAGCATGAAATTATCACACTACATTTTTTTTTTTTTGAGATGGAGTTTCGCTCTTGTTGCCTAAACTGGAGTGCAATGGTGCAACCTCCGCCTCCCGGGTTGAAGAGATTCTCCTGCCTCAGCCTCCAGAGTAGCAGGGATTACAGGCGCACTCCACCAAGCCCGGCTAATTTCTTTTTTTTTTTTTTTTTGAGACAGAGTCTTGCTCTGTCACCCAGGCTAGAGTGCAGTGGCGTGATCTCAGCTCACTGCAACCTCCACTTCCCGGGTTCAAGCAACTCTCCTGCCTCAACCTCCGGAATAGCTGGGATTACAGGCATGTGCTACCACGCCTGGCTAATTTTTGTATTTTTAGTAGAGACAGGGTTTCACCATCTTGGCCAGGCTGGTCTTGAACTCCTGACCTCATGATCCAACCCTCTTGGCCTCCCAAAGTGCTGGGATTACAGGCGTGAGCCACCACGCCCGGCCATTTTTTGTATTTTTAGTAGAAACGGGGTTTCACCATGTTGACCAGGCTGGTCTGGAACTCCTGACCTCATGATCCACCCACCTCAGCCTCCCAAAGTGATGGGATTACAGATGTAAGCCACCACACCCAGCCCACACTACATTTTTAATACATAAATTTTGTTTGAACATTCAAAAAATAAAATAATTAAAAACAATCATGAGTTTTCAAATTTTTATTTTAGAATAATTAGGGGAAAATTGGACAATAGATCTAATTGCTAAGAGGAAATTTTAAAACTTAGGTTAACCCCCAACACTTTTTCCAATGAATTCTAGTTTTTGTCTTTTTTCCTCTTCATGCTGAATAGTTCCTTGTCATCCTGTACAGATAAACAAACAAAAAATTCTTGCATAAGAAAAAGATAAATACAATTCTTCCTTCTTCTGCATTAGGAAATATCCTGTTGTACTGGGTGTGGTTGCTCATGCCTATAATCCCAGCACTTTGGGAGGCTGAAGCAGGAGGATCACTTGCCCAGGAGCTGGAGACTAGCCTGGGCAACATGGGGAAAACCCATCTCTACAAAAAATACAAAAAAAAAAAAAAAAAAAAACTAGCCAGGTGTGGTGATGCACACCTGTAGTGCCGGCTGTTCAGGAGGTTGAAGTAGGAGGACTGCTTGAGTCCAGAAGGTGGAGGCTGCAGTGAGCCATGATCACGCCACTGCAGTCCAGCCTTGGTGACAGGGTGAGACCCTCCAAGAGAGAGAGACAGAAAGAGGGGAAGGGGGGAAAGGGAAGGGGGGAGGAAGGAAGGAGAAAGAAAGAAAAGGAGAGAAAGAGAAAGAGAAAGAAGAAAGAAGAAAGAAAGAAAGAAATCTTGTTTTAGCATGTGACTCACTTGTGAATACAAGCTTGTTTTAAACTCATGTTCTGTTTCTCCACAAATTCCTATTAAAAGCTAGATTAAAATATAAATGACTAGATAAAAATGGTTTTAAGAGTCTCTTTATATAAATACCAATCAGAAGTAGAAAAATACATAGATGGAATTGCCTCAAATAATGCAAAGAAGTCTGTCATAGCAACATAAGTATTATATGAAGAACTGGTGGAATACTCAGAATCTACAAGTTTTGTGCATACAGAGCCAATGAGAGCCAGTGAGAGCTGAGGGTCACCCTGATCTTTTAACTTCCTTGGATTAAATGCCAGGACCAAGATTTGCAGACAGTCTGTCACCCTGCCAATCAATGATGGATGGGGTTTCCCAGAGGAGCCTCACATTTTTATGGTTACCCCTGACTGCAGGCCTGTATTTCTACTGAATTGGATGTCAGTGTGGATCCTAGCATAGTCCTCTACAGGCTGCTTCTGTTCTGTACCAAATCAATCCAGATATGGAAATGGCTTTTCTTCCCAAACAAACAAAATTCAGAAAACAAGCAATAAGTAAAGCCCATGTTCACACCAATACTCCACTTGGCAGACTTTATACAGGAGGTTGGAGAAGATCAAAGAAATTTACATCATAGCAATGCAAACAACAGATGAGGATAGTATAACCTGGTTCCAAAACCACTTTGGCTCGCCTCCCTGCCATGGGATTGCTGGTCACACCAACCCTAGTGAAGCTTCTGCCCCCTCAGCATCTTGCTAAGTTCCCTCTCTTTCTCCTCTCTCTCCTCTCAATTCCTAAATCCTGCTGACTGCAAGTGCAGAACATTTAGCTCTTCTATTTCCTTTTCTCCTGCTAACCCCATGTGATTTGTTATTTTTTTAAACAAAGCCAGTTCCTCGAAACGGAAATGCTAATGTTGCTACAAAGAATGTTTTTTATAATGCATCTTCCGTTGTAATCATAGAATCTTAGAAGGCATTTGGTCCAACACCCTTGAGAAATCTGTAAGAAAAAGGGATTAATGACTTACTCAAGATCTCATAACTTAGAAGCAGCAGAGCAAGCACAAAAACCCTATTCTCCCAACTCTGTCTGATGTGTTTTCTATTACTAAATGCAAATGCTAAGACAGTTTAATATTCATTAATAAGAACCACTAGACAAAGTGTTAATTTTATGTTTATTACGTTGTAAGAAAGTAACAAATCTAATACAAGTAGTCCCAAAAACTTTGAATCATCAAATATTTTTTGAGCACATAAATATTCCAGGTTGAGTAAATGCTTTTGTTTGACACATAGATCCTTTGTGGCATGGTCCCAAATTACCTAATTTATGTCTATAAATACCATCTATATACTGATGACTCTCCAAATTTATGTATCTCCACTCCTGACCTCAGCTCTGTACTCGTGTATCTAAATGCCTTCTTTACCAAGCTGACTGGTTGGCTAAAAGGCAAGACACAATTCCTGGATCCTTTCTCCACGGCCCCTTAAATAGTTCCTTCCTTGGATTCTCCATTTCAGTAAATAGCATCACAGCTGCCTAGTTGCTCAGGCCAAAAATCTTCTGACTTATCTTTGATTTAGCTCATTCAGTTAAAATCTATGCCTACTCTACGAGTTCCTCTCACAAAATAGATACTGATTCCATTCCGTCTGTCTCAACCATAACCACCTTATCCAAGCTCCATGAGCTCATGACTAGGCTGCTGTAAGAGACTTCTTGCTAGCTACTTTCAGTCGTCCAAATTCCTGCCTTCTACAGTCTATTATTCACAAAGCCAAAGTGGTTCTTAAAAGTGTAAAACACATAATACTCTTGCTCAAAACCCTCCACTGCCTTTCCAAGCATGACCACCAAGTCCCTTTCTTGAGCCTACAGGGCTGTGCATGACCTGGCCCTGTTTCTCTGTGATTAAATATATCATCCTCTTGTTATGGCTTTTATTTCATGCCTTGTTTAAGAAATCCTTTCTATTGCAAGAACGTAAGGACATTCTCCTAATTTTTTTGTAAAGGTCTGTAATCCGTGTGGAATTGATTATGGTGTATGGTGTGATGAAGGAATCCAGTTTCCTTTTTTCCTCATAAATAGCCAATTACCTCCACATCATTTATTGGACAGCCCATTCTTTCTTCACTGGGCAAATCATATTTCTATGAATGGGGTCTGTTTCTGGTTCTCAGTTCTGTTCCATTGGTCTATATTTCTGTAGATCTGAGCCAATACTGGATTATAATAATTATTAGAGCTTTATACTAAACCTTGATTTCTGATAAGGCAGGATCCCCACTTGCACCTTTTCTTCTGCAGGAATTTCTCAGTTATTGTTGGATATTTGCTTTTCTGCATACATTTTAGAATTAGCATTGCTTATAAATCTGCACTTATTCCTATCGTAGCTTGCATTGAATTTACAAATTACACTGGTAGTAATGGTAATTATGAATAGATGTTGAACATTATCGAGTGCTTTGTGTGCATCTGTTGACATCGTATTAATGCTTTTCTCCTCTAATGTGGTGATTGACAAATTCAATAAAATAATTTTCTATTGTTAAGCTAATTTTTATCCCAATATAACCCAATGTGACCATGTTTTTCATACATTGCTGGATTTAATTTACCAATATTTAAGATATTGTGACAATGTTCATAAGTAAGTTCATATTATTTTTGTCTTGTTTTGGAATCAAGATGATAGTAGCCTCAGAAAATAAACTCCCTCTTTTTCTAACTCTCAGGAAGATCTTCTGTAGTATAATTATCTCTTCCTTGAAAGATTGGTAAAACTCACCTATCAAGGATCTGGGCCTGGGTTTCTTCTCTTTTGATAGGGTCTCACTTTGTCACCCAGGCTGGAGTGCAGTGGTGTGATTATAATTGAATGAGCAACCTTGATCACCTGGGCTCAAATGATCCCTCCAGCCTCAGCCTCCCAAGTAGCTGGAACCACAGGCACGTGCCACCACACCCAACTAATTTTTGTGTTTTTTGTAGAGATGGGGATTTGCCATGTTGCCCAGGCCTGGGTTTCTTTATGAGAACATTTTAAACTACTAATTTTACCTTTAATTAATCATTATGGGATTGTTTATGCTATTTTTTCCTTGAACTAGTTTTGGCTAGTTAGATGTTTCTAGAAATTTGTCCTTTTATCTAAACATTCTAATTACTAGCATGTAACTTTTTATATAATTTTCTTTCATCATGTCTTCTGTACTCATGAGTATATCCCTTTTTTTATTCCTAATTGTTTACTTGTGCCATCTCTCATTTCCATAGAGTAAAGTCATTGGAGTTTTATCTGTATTGTTAGTGTATTTCAAAACACAACTTCTGACATTGTCAAATCTCTCTGGTGTATTTTAGTTTACTATTTCATTTATTTCTCTACTTTTCTTTGTTTTTTCATTCCTGCTGCTTTCTTGAGTTTATTCTGTTTTCTTTTTTCCCCTAACTTAAGTTGGCTCTGTAGTTCACTAATTCTTAATCCTTCTTCTTTTCTCATATATTCACTTTGATTTTCCTCAAATTACCTCTTTAACTTTATCCTCTGTTTCGGTAATTAGTATTCCCATTATAATTCTATGTTATGTGTCTCTGATAGTAATTCTTTGAAGTTTTTCTGGACTTGCTTTAAGGACTACTGCATGCCAATTTTTGCAAATGTTGCATGTACTTTTGAAAAGATGATGTGTTCCTTAGTTATTAGAGTTCTTGCTTTCTTGGGTGCTGGTAACTTTTGAGTTCATATGAGGTTGGATTTAAGCCATGGGAATTCGGAGGGGCTTGCAGAGAAATACTTTCCTCCAGAGATGATTTATGTTTGTTTCTGCAAGGTGCCTGGAGATCCTCAGCTGAACACTTGTCATGACATTTCAGCTCACTCTCAGGTTCTACTGTCACTTTAAGTTGCTAACACAGTCACAGGTCAGAAACTAACATATCCAGCCCCTGGCAGTAGCCAAAGCCCTTCGATTGAATATTAAATCTCCTCTCCTCCTGCCACCTGCAAAGAGAACTATGGGTACTACCCCTCTTCCCTCTTTCCCGTCTTCCCAGCATTCCCTTCCCACCACAGCTTGCCAATTGTAGTCTTTGACTCCTCCAGAATCAGGACCAGGGGAGAGGGGATTAGGGAAAAGGAGCCACACTACAGCAGGGCCATCTTTGTGACAAGTATGGCTGGCTGCTTCTCTCTCTCATAGACACCTTGTGGGTACTTCAAAGATTCTCCTGTTGGATTTTTCCAATTGCAATGCATGAGACGTGGGTGATGCTTTTTTTTTGTTTTTAATCAGAAATTTTTTTTTAGTGCAGTTTTAGGCTTGCAGCAAAATTGAGAAGGTACAGGCATAACTCTTAATTCAGGTAGACAAGGAGGTGACCGCCACATGCACAGCCCCACACATTTACAGCCCCCTATATCAACATCCCCTCCAGTGTGGTACATTCGTTACAATTGATGAGCCTACATTGACACATCATCACTCAAAGCCCACAGTTTACATTAGACCTCACTCTTGCTGTTATACATTCTATAAATTTTGATGAATGTATAATGAGATGTGTCCATCATTATAGTATCATACAGAGTGGTTTCAGTTCCCTCAAATCCTCTGTGCTCCACCCATTTATCCCTCCCTCCCCTCTAATCCCTGGCACCACTGATCTTTTTACTGTCTTCCTAGTTTTGCCTTTTCCAGAATGTCATACAATTGGAATCATACAGTGTGCATGAAGAAGCCTTTTCAGATTTGCCTCTTTCACTTGGTAATACACATTTAAGCTTCCTCCATATGTTTTCATTACTTGATAGCTCATTTCTTCTTCAGAGCTGAGTAATATTCCATTGTACGGGCGTACCACAGCTTTTTCATCCATTCACTCCCTGCAGGACATCTTGATTGCTTCCAAGCTTTGGCAATTATGAGTGAAACTGCTGTACACATCTGTGTGCCATTTTCTCTATGGACATGAGTTTTCACCTCCTTTGGGTAAATGTCAAGGAGTGTGAATGATGGCTCCTGTGGTAAGAGTATGTTTGGTTTTGTAAGAACTGCCCATTGTCTTCCAAAGTGGGTGACGGCCTTTCTCCCAATGGAACCAGCTGCTTCCCCTCAGCCCGCCTGCAGTTCTTCTTGCAGACTCTTAGGAGGAGTCCATTACCTCCTCCATCCTGGCCACTGGACAAGGTCTTAAAGTGCCTTCAGGCTGACTTTCCCCCCTACATGGACCACATCTGGCCCACGGAGCACCCCATAAATTCCTCAGGGAGTACAGTTACTTCCTTGATGCAATAGCACCTCCCCTGCGCTGCACCTTGCCAGCTGGTGCCTCCTCCCCTGTTCTTGCCTAGTAACTATGGATTGAATACAAAACATGGTGTGGCAAGGAATATGTTCCCTTCCTCCAGAAAGGCTTTCTTTGCTTGTGGCAGAAGACAGACTGCATGCAGGCCATCTGCACACGTCCCAGCAGAAACCGAGCCCATCAGAGCCTGTGTTGCTCTTGTCTGAAGGCCGCTCACCTGCTGGCCCTTACTCTTGCCACTTGGTCTCCTGGGTCTCAGCTGACAACCTGAGCTACTTACAGGGCGCCTGCTCCTTTGTGCCTGAACTGACAGTTACGTCCACCCAGCACCACCAGCGTGCCAGCATCTTGGCTTAGCTCTCCAGCCTCTTAGCAGCTGCTTCTGTTTGGTTTCTGGGCATTGCATTGTTCACACGCACAGCTTAGACATCAGGAAATGGTTTGAAGAGAAATCGCACGAAGACACAATTTTCCCTGGTTCCCTTTTCTCTGTGTTCATGGCCCATCAAGTCCTGACAACTTTGTATCCTGAATTCCAATTTTTTTGACTGTGGCAAGCTATGAGCTGCCACTTTCTGTTTGGGTTTCACACCCCATGACAGGACCTGAATCAGCGAATGCTCCCGGGGGACAAAAACAGCTGCAAAGAAAGAACTGACTTCAATGCACTTGTCTCCTTTCGAACATCTTGGCCCTTGGATTCCAGCAACCTTGGCTGCTCTTTGATGTTCTCAGACTACTCTATTACATTTTATTTGGTTTGGTTTTCACAGTTCTTCAGCAGGAGGGTTATTCTGGTACAAAATACTCCCTCACAGCCAGAAATGGAAATCCCCTTTAAGTTTTTTGAGGTTTTGTTTTTGTTTTTGTTTTTTTCAAAAAATGTACTAGGTGGCATTTTTCTTATATAATGAACATGTTTTCTCTTCGCTTTAAATGTGAAAGATAATTTGACATAGAACAAAAATGTTTGGTTCACAAACACTTTATCCTCAAAATTCTGTAGATGTGGTTCCATATTCTTTTTTTTTTCCCCCCCGGAGACAGAGTTTTGCTCTTGTTGCCCAGGCTGGAGTGCAATGGCGCCATCTCAGCTCACAGCAACCTGTGCCTTTCAGGTTCAAGCAATTCTCCTGCCTCAGCCTCGCAAGTAGCTAGGATTACAGGCATACACCAGCTAATTTTGTATTTTTATTTTTAGTAGAGACGGGGTTTCACCATGTTGGCCAGGCTGGTCTCGAACTCCTGACCTCAGGTGATCCTCCCAAAGTGCTGGGATTACAGGCATGAGCCACTGAGCCCAGCCAGCCATATTCTTTTTGCACTCGATGATTCAGAGGATAACTCCAATGTGGGCCCTACCTTTGTTCCTTTGTGAAAATTAAATTAAATTAATTGGACATTAATTAAATTAACGTTTCAAACAATACACTAAAAAGACTGAGATCATATACAAAACAATGTCTGCACGGATGTTCTGCAGAGGTGGCTGAGAAGGGATCCCACAGCTCCCAAGCCCTTGCCACAACCAGAGGGCAGGGGCCAGTGGGCAGCTGGGTGCAGGGATTATTTGTGAGGAGGGGTTTGGGAGGTGGTTTTAGAGTGTTTCTTCCAAGCCCTCCCTGGCTCTTCCACAAGTGTTGGGGTGAAGTGGTGCAGAGGGAGACATTGTGTCATGGAGCCCTGGGAAGCACTGAGATTAAGAAACCTCTCTCAGGAGGCTGAGATGGGCAGATCACGAGGTCAGGAGTTCGAGACCAGCCTGACCAACATGGTGAAACCCCGTCTCTACTAAAAATACAAAAATTAGCCAGGCGTGGTGGTGGGCACCTGTAATCCCAGCTACTCAGGAGGCAGGGGCAGAAGAATTGCTTGAACCCAGGAGGCGGAGGGGCAGAGGTTGCAGTGAGCCCAGATCGCACCATTGCACTCCAGCCTGGGTGACAGAGTGAGACTGTCTCAAAAAAAAAAAAAGAAGAAACCTCTCTCATTTAGCCTTCTATCTAACGATGTTTCTATACTGACCATGTTTAGAAATTAGCAAATAGCATATGGTCTCAACTAAATTAAACACCCACAGGAAAAAAATAGTTTAAGGAAACATACCAAAAGGATTATTATGTATTTAGAATCCGGGTAATATTTAATTTTTGTTTTCATATATTTCCTTATTTTCCAAAAATTGAGAAGAACATCTACTAGTTTCATAATGAAAAATCATATTTTCTAAATGCCTAAACACACAATGTTTAACATAACACTACGTACGCCGTACATGTATAACATACAATTAGGTAAAAATTATCCACATGGAAAACACCTGGATAGAACTCCCCTCCCTCCACACACACACACAAAAATCCCAGTGTTTTCCTCTGCATAGCGATTTCTCTATACATATCTGTAAATTTTCAAATTTTTATGTAATGGAGGAGGGAAGGGGAAACTTTAAAACACCAGTCCCAGAAATATGGCCCACCTGTGTGTGGGTGGTTAAGGAGCACACCTGGAACATTCACACCAGGTTCCCCTGGGAGCCCAGTGTCCTCCCCCACTCCAAAACCACGCCCGGCTACTTCTTGTATTTTTAGTAGAGATGAGGTCTCACCACCTTGGCCAGGCTGGTCTCCAGCTCCTGAGCTCAAATGATCCACCCGCCTCAGCCTCCCAAAGTGTTGGGATTACAGGCGTGAGCCACCGCACCCGGCGGTTCGTTTCATTTTCCTTCACTACCTTTCCTCGCTCACTCCACTGGCTCGTTCTTGGAGCCCCGACTCCTCTACACTGGGTCCCACTACACTGGCCCTTGGTACATACATTCCCACACTGTCAATCAACTCTTTCACCCCCACTCTGCGAGTCCCATCTCCCCAGGAGCCCGCGAGCTCCTGGGACAAGGATGTGACCATCCCCAAGCTCCTTCTCCAGGCTGAGCTGGGGGTGGGGGGGCTTTCCACAAATAAGATTAAACTGAACAGGCGCCCTTCCTCCCTCAGCCTTTCCTGGCCCTCATCCTTGAATTCCCAGCCCCCAGCTTTGCTTGGGAAATCAAAAGACGCCAAAAGGCAAAAAAACAGCTCACTGGGGAGAAAAACCCGAGTCTCCCTCCCAGGTCAGTAATTAGTGCGGCCGGAGGAAGAGCAGCCCCTGGCACAGTCGGGTCCTTAACAGCTCCCGCCCCAGAAGCTGCCTTCGGATGAACAGCCGGGTGAATCGCCATGAAAAATTAATCAGCCTCCGCCTGTCCGCGGCCTAGATGGGCGCAAAGCAGATGACCTGGCAGGAACCAGCCGCAGTGAAGCCACCGCAACCGCAGCCGCAGCCGCGGAGGGGAGGCCGTGCACCCGCCCGCCGGGAGAGCCGCGCGCCTGAGCCGGGCGCACGTGGGAAGTGGGCCACGAGACTGGAGTCCACCGAGATGGAGGCCCCGGCACTCGGGCTCAGGCCTTTGTGCTTAGCACGTACTGTTGGAATCCAGCACGCCCTGCTCCGGCGGGCGCCTCCGATCCTGAAGCGCGCACCTGGGAACTCACGCACCGCCCAGCCGCGAGGGGCTTGGCCTGGCTGAAAGCCACATTATTCTCGAAAACAACCGTGGGAAGCACACGCTGAGCTCCCGGGGCCCCTAGAGTATGCAAAGAGGCCGGCCCTGCGAGACTAAATAAGTCTCTCCCCCTAGGACCTAGTCCCTTGCCACCGGCTCCCGCGGCCACCGCGCAGCCAGAGTGCACCGTCCCTAGGGCTTTGGCGGTGGCCAGAGCCAGCAAGTGCGGCGGCCTGGAGCTGGGGTGGTGAGGGCGGATGGCAGGTTGGAGAAATGCAGCCGAGCCGCAGGTTTCTAGAGGCCTCTACAGCCCCTGCCATCTGGGCACTGCACAGACAGACGCTGCGTGAGACCTGGAGCTCGCCACCTCCATGCGGCGCTGCCAGCCACTCCGCTGCGGGTGCAGGAGCGTTCCATGTCGGGGACTGAGGGACCAGCGCCGGCTCCCCAGTTTCTCTGCATTGTGAAGTCATTTTCTTAAACTCGGGCTTTAAATAACCACCGATGACTTGCCTACGGGCCACGCAGATGCTATACTCTGACCTCGCTGGGATGTGCAGAAGTATTCTACTGTTTTGCTTTTGAATCAAATTAGGGAGTTTAGAGAAGTTTTAGATTCAGGTCAGGCTTTCCCAGGACCTCCAGGCTGTGGACTGTGCTCGAGCTTAGGCCAACAGCGCCATCTGGTGGTTATGATCCGCATGTACCCGCCAATGCCTGCAGACCGGAGAGAGTGATGTAATGGTCCACAATTGTTCCTGAAGCCAGCTCTGCAGCAGGCCAGATGTTATGGGTGTTTTATACCCCAGTTTTTCGTGTAAGTCACTGAGCGAGGGGGTTTCTTCATAGGACGAATGCTATATGCTGTAATGGAAATTCCCCTTTTTGCAATCTATTCTAGAGAGGGTGGATTTGAAGCTAGGGAGACATAGGACATAAAAAATCCAATCTCTTTGACTCCCAGCCTGACTACCTGACTTTACCAGGTCCCACCAAGACAGGATGTGAATGCATGCCTCTTGATTCCAAGAGGATGTGGAACTGTTTTACATTCCTATGCTGTCATGGCCTCCACCAGCTCATGCATTCCTTCAGGACTGAAAGCAGACTCCACACTGCCTGAAAAATTCCCGGGACACTGATCCTCACCAGAGTTGCCCCTCTGTCCCTCAGACGTCCTTTTATTCCCTTACTACCGCAGCCTGTGGCTGGCCTCCCGCCAGGGCGCTCCAGCACCTCGGACCCCTCAGCTGTCTCTCTACTCTTTGCCTCTTACCTTGACTTGCCCAGCACCCTGCAGTTGCTTTTCTGTCTTTACCCCATCTGGCCAAGACTAACTAGAGAATGTCACCAAACTATGCCAATTGGACCAGCTGCAAATTTAGGCTGTGGGACTTCAGATGAGCCCTCACTGCAACTCAGTTTTCAGCATTTGTTGATTCCTGCATTGCAGATATTCCAAATGTTTCCTTCCAATTTTTAGCTCTTGCCCTTACAGTATCTCACAATTTGAGAAACAACTTCTACTTTACAGAGTTGAAGTTGGCCTCATGTGAGTTTCCTCAATGTTGCCTCTTTTGCCCTTAAAATGTTTGTATCACCTTATTTTTTCATTCTACGTTACTTCAACAGGGAAAAATCCTTTGTCTTTCCAAACCAAATGCATCTGCTTTTATCTCTAACATAAAATATGAAGCCCAAACAAAGCAGGAAAAAAAAACTCAAAATAGAAGCAAAAGGAAACTTCAAGAAACTATCATTAACATTCTCAGAAGAATGAATAAAAAATATTGCACACATGAAAAAAGGATGCCACAAGAAAAGGAATATTCAGGAGGTGGAAAAATCCTATTAGAAATTAAAAAATATGATAGCAACAATGAAAGTTTCAAGAGAAGAGTTAGAATAGAAATTTAGTGAAGCCTTCCAGAAAGTACAATAAAAAGGCAAAAGGGCAATTTTTAGAAAGAAGGAAAACTACAACATTAGCCCAAGAGGCCAAGTCAGCTACGTAATTTGAGAGACTCAGTGAAAAATGATGATGTGGAGTTCTCTAAGAATTTTGGCTGGGCGTGGTGGCTCACACCTGTAATTCCAGCACTTTGGGAGGCCGAGGCGGATGGATCACAAGGTCAAGAGATCGAGACCATCCTGGCCAACATGATGAAACACCGTCTCTATTAAAAATACAAAAAATGAGCTGGGCGTGGTAGGATGCGCCTGTAGTCCCAGCTACTCCAGAGGCTGAGGCAGGCGATTCACTTGAACCCAGGAGGCAGAGGTTGCAGTGAGCTGAGATCGCACCACTGCACTCCAGTCTGGTGACAGAGGGAGACTCTATCTTGAAGAAGCTGGGGTCAGTGCAATGCACCTGTAATTCCAGCTACTTGGGAGACTGGCTTGAGGCGGGAGGATGGCTTAAGTCCAGGAGTTCAAGACCAGCCTGGGCAACATAGTGAGACCCTGTCTCTAAAAAAAAAAAAAAAAAAAAAAAAAATTAGCCGGGCATGGTGGCTCATGTCTGTAGTCTCAGCTACTGGGAAGGATTGTTTGAGCCCACGAGTTAAGGCTGCAGTGAACCTTTTCTAGTTCTTTATTAATTTTTTTTAGAAACAGGGTCTCACTCTGTTCAATTCTAGCTCATTGCAGCCTTGAACTCCTGGACTTCAACGATCCTACCACCTCAGCCTCCTGAATAACTGAGACTACAGGGACGTGTCACCACGCCCAGATAATTTTTTTAATTTTTATCTTGTAGAGAAAATGTCTCACTGTGTTGCCCAGCCTGGTCTCAAAACAATCCTCCTGCCTCAGCCTCCCAAAGTGCTGGCCTGAGCCACTGTGCCCAGCCCCTTCTCTAGTTCTAACTAGTGACCTTCTCTAGTGAGTCTCAGCCAGATGAGGTATAAGACATCATGTCACTGCACTCCAGCCTAGATGACAGAGCAAGACCCCGTAAAAAGTCTTTAAAAATTTCAGGGTGGCAACAGGAGAGCATTAAACCCAGCGGGGGGTTGCTGCAGTGGGCACAGTCCTTCGGTCCCTGCTTTATACCTTGTGATTCAGGGTTCTCAGCAACCCATGCCATGAGGAATCCTCCTCATCAGAGTTAAAGCCATAGGTCACACACTGCCTTGCAGGCTGTTTTAAAGTGGGTGGAAGGCGAGGATGCCCTGTCAGCCCTGAGGATTTAAAGCCATGTTCTACAGAAGCCTTACCACATGTGACTGTTCAGACCTAGATCTGGCTCATTTGATGCAGTTGTGCTGCCAGTGTAAACTACACATCAGATTTCACATAAAAAACAATGTCAAGTACGTCATTAATCATTGCATTATGTTGAATACATGTTGCAGTGATGTTTTGGATTTACTTGGTTAAATAACGTTTTATTAAAATTAAGTTTACCAGTTTCTTTTTGCTTTTTAAAAATGTGGCTACTAGAACATTTTTAAAATGTGGCTCCCGTTGTATTGTGATCCAAGAATCCTGGTCTAAAAGAGATTTATTATGGAACCAGTCACCAACCTAGTGATTTGTAGGTTTTATTTCTTGCTCTTCCATGACAAGGTGTCAGGGCAGCAGGCCTGGCCATGGCTGGATTCATCCATTTCCAAAGAAGAAAGCAGACACCACTGTAGGTATTTCAAAGCGGAAGAGATTTCATATAGGAAATCTGGTTACCAAATTCTTATTAAAACTGGAAAAACAAGGAAAATGTGGTGTTTCCAGAAATCCTGAACTGCAGAAAGCTGCTACCTCTTTTACAGGATCCAGTGCTCAGGTGAGCCCATACAACCCGGTCCCTGCACTGTTGCTCGGCAGCTCCAAGGCTTTGCAGTCATGTGCTGGCAACCCAGGCAGGAGCCTATAGCTGCTGTTGTTAGTGAAGACACACTGGCACGGTCGCAGGAGCCAACAGTCACCTTCTATGCTGAGCGGGAGTCACTGACATTTGCTAAGAGAGGGCCTACCAGAAAAATAATGGTTTCTATCTTCTAGACTTTCTAATTGCTGGGAATTCCTCCAGGTGGCGGACCTAACCGGAACCCAGGTGGGAAGAGGGTTTGTTAAATGCAGTTTGCAATCTTCCAGCCCTGATGGTAAAAAGGAGAGGGTAGTAGGGCAAGCCACAAAAGCCTTCTAAAGAATCTCTCCTAAAAGATGAAATGGGTAAATGGAGCTGAATGTACTGAGAGGAAAGCATCTGGGAAAATGGGAATGAATTATTGATAATGATACAAACTAAGAGAGCAATAAAAATGGAAAAAAGTCAATTATAAACTCTGGGAAAACAAAAGTCTTACAAATAAGGAAACAATCACAGTACACCACTTGGTTGTGTTGTGAACAATGTTTCTACGGTCATAATAATATTAATTCTGAATATTCGTTTACCAGCTATTAAGTATAATTTTATTGGGGTGATGGGTCAAGTAGGAGAGGGTATGTGCGGGAGGTAGGGCAAGTTGAGATCTAGGAAGTCAACACATTAGTTCACACCTAGCTGGGAGAGAATCAAGAAATCACAGCTTAGGTGTTTTTTTGCTTTTAATGTTTGCAAGTGTATCCTAAAGAAAACAGCTGACCAGTTAAAACAGGGAGTGAGGATCTGGAAGGAGGCAGGAGACAGGGCTCTACAGTTTGAGGTTTTAAAACGTAGGGAGTTATATAATTGCTTTTAATGATGTACATGTAAACCTATGCCTCACATTCAATAAATATAAACTTATATACAATACAAATGTTTCTACAAATTATTGTATATAAAATTCAAGAAACTTTTTACTTCATAAATGAGAAAAACTCTCACTCCCTAAAATCTTCCACTTCTCATAAAACATTGATTATATACCCAAATTTATAGTAATGAAAAGAACATGTCATTACTGTCAGGGTAAAGCAAAGCTTGACAGCACTGAGCGGTATGATTTATTTATGGAAGGAAGAGTTGACTGAGCAAGAAGCTAACTGCGATCATCTTTAGCCATTTTCTTTACCATAAATTTAAGTCCACTTATTCTTTGGGTGAGCAGTTGTGGTTACCAACACTGTTTTGAAAGGATACATGGATGGTGTCATTTCAATCTGTCAGCCATGCCACGATTGGTAGTTAGGTGACGCTGAAATCTGTGTTAACTCTTTGAAGCTAAATGGTATCTCAACAGAGAACTTACTGCTCACCAAATGCCTCACCTCCTGCAGTTGAGTAGGGCCATGTGACTTATCCTAGGCAACACACAGTGAGCGAAGTGATGTGTGTCCATTCTGAGCTAAAGCATTTTAGAGCCAGTGCCCAACTTTTCAGCTCTGTCCCCAGAGCCACGGTGATTGTTGAGACGAGAGTCTCCTATGTTGAGGAGAATCACGAGGTGGTGACAGCACCTTGAATTGTTGAGGTACCACATGGGGGAAGGTTACACTAGGAGTCACCCATCATTCACTGAACTTTGGGTGGTTGAAAAATAAATGGTTATTGCTTTAAAGCCTTGAGATTTGGGCATGTGTGTTACTAAAATATAAGGCATCCTATCCTGACACATTTCCTTGTGTTGTTTTGCTTATAGTGTGTCATTTTAGTATGTGCTATTTATGGAAATCCCTTTACTAATTCACCATCATAAACCCATCGCCAAGCATATGTAGGCCATGATTCTAATAAGAGCAATGGGTTTTGCTGAGTTCTACCCACTCTGTTACCCTGGGCTGTTAAGAACATTTACTTTAAGGCGATTGTGAACAGGGTGTCTTAGTTCAGGCTAGTTTAACAAAGAACCCTAAAGTAGTTGCCATGAACAACAGAAACTTATTTCTCACAGTTCTGGGGTGTGGAAGTCTGAAGTCAGGATGCCAGCATGGTTGGGTTCTGGGTAGGGCTCTCTTGTGGGTTGCAGATGACCAACTTCTCCTAGTTCCCTCACATAGCCAAAAGAGGGCGAGAGGTTTCCGGGGTTCCTTTTATAGGGACACTAATCCCATTCACGAAAGCTCCACCCTATTTACCTCCCAAAGGCCTCTCCTCCTAAGGCCATCATATTGGGGGTGAGGATTTCAACATACGGATTTCAAGCTGGGGGGATGCAAACAATCCATAACAGAGAGGGAGGTATCCTGCGTGGTCACGTAACAAATCTTTTCTCCGTGTGAAGTTAATTCTTCAAGGGAGGTGAACCCACAACGAAATAGCCATTATGTTTTCACTAACAGAAATAACTCACAGAGGAAACAGAATGAAAGGGGTTAGGCTGTTTAGACTGTGTCAGACCTTTCATTCAGTCAATCAATAATAATCGGAAGGCTGCTGAGGTCGATGTACTGTGCCAAGTACAGCATGAGACAGAAAATGAATGGGAAATACATTTAATTTCTCCTATGCAGGAAAGAACAGCCATGGGCAAGCAAAGCTAAACATATCTGCAAAAGTCACAGCTTAGGGCATGAACCCAGGAGGTGGAGCTTGCAGTGAGCTGAGATCGTGCCACTGCATTCCAGCCTGGGCGACAGAGCCAGACTCCGTCTCAAAAAAAAAAAAAAAAAAAGTCACAGCTTAACACATACACAATAATATTCTTCAAATGTCATTCTTGTGCTGAGGTCAAGGAAGAAAGGGGACTGGAGAAGTTACTAGGCAGGAGAAGTCATGGGAATGGTGTTCCAAGCTGGGCTTAGTAGGAGTCAAAGGACAAGTTTTAGTAGAAAGAGAAGAGAATGGACAGCATATGAAAATATGGACACACAGGACAGCAAAGGGAAGGGCCTGAAATATGCCAAAGGCAAGAATGGGCATGGATGGAGCAAGAGGAATTTAAAAAATGAAGGCCAGGCACAGTGGCTCATGCCTGTAATCCCAACAATTTGGGAGGCCGAGGTGGTTGGATCACCTGAGGTCAGGAGTTTGAGACCAGCCTGGCCAACATGGCAAAACTCCAACTGTACTAAAAATACAAAAGTTAGCCAGGCGTGGTGGTGCGCACCTGTAATCCCAGCTACTCAGGAGGGTGAGGCAGAGAATCGCTTGAACCCAGGAGGTGGAGGTTGCAGTGAGCCGAGATCGCACCACTGCACTCCAGCCTGGGTGACAGAGGAAGACTCTGTCTCAAAAAAAAAAAAACAAAACAAAAAACAAACCGCTGGGCGAGGTGGCTCACACCTGTAATCCCAGCACTTTGGGAGGCTGAGGCAGGTGGATCACTTGAGGCCAGGAATTCGAGACCAGCCTGACCAACATGGAGAAACCCTGTCTCTACTAAAAATACAGAAAAAATTTAACCGGGTGAGGCAGGAGAATCACTTGAACCCGGGAGGTGGAGGTTGCAGTGAGCTGAGATTGTGCCACTGCACTACAGCCTGGGTGACAGCGCAAGACTCTGTCTCAAAAATAAACAAACAAACAAACAAACTGCGGTAGGGAGAAATTAGGGAGGGGCCTTGAAGTCCAGATGAGAACCATTTAAGAGAATTGTGTAGAGCTTTATATAAAATGATCTGGGAAAGAGAAAGGTTATAGAGGTGGAGAAAGAAGGCCAGACAGGATTTAAGGCAACAATTCAACAATGAAATTAAGAATGGGGGTAGTGGCTTGGGGTTTGGAAGAGCAGGAGAAAGTCCAAAGGAAAACTCAAAAGGATCTGAAGACGGATGAGAGAGGAGGGTTTGAGAAAAGAGTGGAGACATGACTGACCCCACATTTTCAAGCATGGAGAAGTTGAAAGGGGGCTGCTTTGTGGTAACTAAGAAGCTTCCAAATTCAACAATATATTTCCCTATAGTCGCAGGGAAAGGAACAAATTAGACGCAAAGAAGACATAGAAAAGAACAAGTAGAGAGGACAATGACCCTAATCTCTTAGCTTTTTGAGGCCAATGATCACATTTACTTATGTTAGTATCCTCTTCATGTGCCTAATATGAGGATGAGTACCTGGAACCAACTAAAAATAGTTACTGAGGAAGAGAATAGGTTAACTCGAAATGATTTCGCTTTCCTGTACAACAGAGATGTTAGCGTGATCCAAAAACCTTCCACTACACACTGCAGAGGTTGAGGTCTACATTCCAGAATCACTGAAGGATTTCTCAGAAGAAAGCTAAGTGGGGAAGGAACCAGGTTCACTGATATTGAGTTCATAATAATAACCTTGGGCATCAGAGAGAAATTGTGATTCATGGTTAAATCGTCTCCAATATAATTAACTGGATACAGGTCTGAGTCCTGGACAACAGGGATGTAAATAAGACTGAAAGAGAGCTGCATCATCACTACCACTGTGGAGCAGAAGTGTAGACAGTGACATCCATGAAACTCTGGCGGCTCAAGTTTTGGGTTGGCCACCATGGAGGCAGAAAGAGCTACTGCACACAGCAGTGCAAGGCTGGGTTGCAATGTGCTGGCTGCTGGGAAGCACAGCATGGAGGCTGCAGCCCATCGTGGCAGTGTACAGATTATTGAAATAATTTTATTCATAAGCACATTTGAAAATGCTCCCACCACCTCCCAGAAGTACTTGAAGCAGTGGAAAATATTGCAGTGAGCTGAGGTCTGAGCGTCAATAAACCAAGACCTGTCAGACTCAGCTGAGATACAATCAGGGCCTTTGCCCAAAGTTCATGAGACTGTGAAGGACAGCACCCAAGCTGGTGCAAATTGCAAATATTTGAGGGTGCATTCCAGCCAAGAGGGGCCATAGCTGATTGGGGAAAGTGGAAAGGGTACAGCAGTAGCCATCCAAAGCTTCTGATCAATAAAATGTAACCCGTATGTTATGTACCAGTTTCTTGCTGTAATAAAAAGAAATCTGCAAGAGGATGGTAAACAATTAACTGTACCACACAGAAACTGTTGTAGAGACATCCGCCCCCTGCCCAAACCTGCCTTGCCCTTTCCTGCCTGTGCCTGCTCGCTGCCCAATCTCTGCATCCTCTGTAGCAGCAGAGCCTCTATTTTGTTCTGGTGGTAATGCGCGCATCTAGTCCTTTCAGCTTGTGTGGGTGGGGAAGACCACGCAGCACATCTCTGCGAGAAGTCTCCAGGTGATGCTTCTCTCTACAGAGGCTTTCTAAAAGGGGGCAGACTCCACTGGTCTGTGCCTTGGCCCGTTGTGCCCTGCTTCTTCTAGCATGGAATGGAGGCTCCCCTGCTAGGCTGGGGTTACTGGCCCTTTTGTGAACATGAGGCTATACACTTTTAGGACGAAAGCCTCATACCTAGGAGGGATGAGCAGAAAGGTAAAAGGAGACTAGTGCCCCGATGGCATCATGGAGCCACTATACCAATCCTGGGTTTCCTACCTCAAGATGCTGGCTTATGAGAGAAAAATAATCCTCCAATCAGGATAAGCCACCATGCCGGGCTTGTCACTTGTAGCCAATGCTGTTACTGCCTTTGCACCTTTGCTCAAGACATTACCCATCTGAATGGCTCTTTTCTCTCTTCTCAGCTTAACAAATTTGTCTCCCACTACAAAACATGCCTCTCTACTCCCCTAAATCTAGAGTTGACTCTTTTTTTGTACATGACCCCCCTGCAACTAACACTGTAAGATTCTGGTGACAGAGACCAAGGCTCATGCTCTTTAAGCTTCCACACAATCCTTGCTCTTGGTAGAACATGGTTCCCACTGAGTGCTTCCCTGAAAAATGTAATTCCACAATACTTTTGCATTAAAGTTCATGAACTATTTGGTCTGAGCTTCAAACTTATAGTGCACAAATCATGATTCATTCAGCAGAATAACTCCAGACTCCAGCCCACACACGGACGCAGCCGGCTACTCCCATGCTGTTAGAAAACACCAGTTCTGGGGGTTCCTCTCTGTGAGCACTCCTAACTGTTCCTGAGGAAACTTTGAGTGACTCATAGTCTCCCTTCTAACATCGCCACCTCTCTGTGCTCTGGCAGGTCCATCTGGCTTTCTATGGCCAAAATAGCATCCTGGGATGACTGTCCCAGAATGTACCAAAATAGGTAAAGGGAGAATTGTGCCTTCAGAGGCATTTGGATGATTGTCCGAAACAGAAAATAATAAGAGTTCTTTTCTGGGCCAGATCCTTTATTTGCCCTATGTACTAAAGCAGGTTTCCCCCCTCCATCCCATCTGCCCCTTCCTCGGTCCTTTGCAATGCATTATTTCCAACAACAGTAAGCTCTGCCATATGGCCAATAAATATATTGCTCAAGAACGTCAGTGTATTTCATCAGATGTTCTTCTCCAAAGTTAGAAGGATTGCCACAGTGAACTGGGTGAAGTAGATAGCTCTAATCTGCAACAGCACTATTTCATTTATTCTGATTTCTACCATGTTGCCTAACTGTGGAAAATTATCCCAGTACCCCAGGGTCTGTGTGTGCCCAGTCAGACCAGTGCTGCAGCAGTTCACACAGATCCCAGGTGCTGTGGACGAACTAAGCCAAAGAAACCTGCCCTTTGAATCACCCTGGTTGCTCCAGCCTACTACCTCTACATGTGGGCTCAAGTGGGAGCTGCCATGAAAAGGTCTCTCAATTTCTCCTTATCTGGCTCTCCCACAGGTGGCTCTAATTCCAGGAGCCTTGTGGGAAGCTGCAGACCAGCCAGGGAGCCACTAGAGGGCCCCCTACTAACATCTGCCTGAGCCAGGGGGCTCAGTCCCTCATGTTTTCTGGTATATTCCACACAACTTATCAAACTGCTTACTTTCTTCCATAAAGATTTGGAATACAATAACGATGTCACAGATGTCAAGCGAGGAGAAACTGTTTTTCGTTCATTAACTTCTGGAAAGAAAAGAAATTTAACTTTGGCCAGGAGTGCCCGACTGGGATCGGCGGCACGGCCACAGGGGCACCCTGTGGCTAAACCCCTCATGGAAGGCACTGGAAAGATCCTCTACCCCCAAACGCAGGGTTTAGGGCATCGTCTGTCCTTGCAGAAGCAGGAATCTTGTTAGAGTTACCCAAATACAACATTTCAGTAGGAAAGGCTGGGTGTTCTTGCTTTTTAATTAAAAATTTTATTGAGATAATTGTAGATCCACATACGTTTATAACAAAGAAATCAATAGAGAGTGTTACTAATCAATACTTACTTGCTTTACGGATTATTAGTCAATAACCATAAGAAAGAAATCAATAGAGATTGTTACTAATCAATACTTACTTGCTTTATGGATTATTAGTCAATAACCAAGAGTCTCATATGCGCTTTATGCAGCTTCCTCCAAAGTAACATTTTTCAAAACTATGACAACCAAGATACAATCTACTAATCAGATTTAGATTTCCCTAGTTTTACTGTTACTCGTGTGTGTGGGGGGTATGTATAGTTCCATACATTTTTATCATCTGTGGATTCACGCATCTGGCACCAGTCAGGATACTGAACACTTCCACCTCCACAAGGATCCCCGAAGCTGCCCTTTCATAACCACAACCCCTCCCTCCCACGTCTTCACCCTAACCCAAGCCTCTGGCACACACCAATTTCTCCTCCACTTCTAAAATTTCATCATTTCAAAACTATTATAAAAATGGCATAATATAGGCTGTTACTTTTCAGGATTACCTTTTTACTCCCCATAACTCCCTGCAGAGTCATCCAAGTTCGTACAAGTTGATTCATGCATCGATAATTCATTCCTTTGTGCTTGCATGCACTTCAGCGCATTTAACCATTCACCTGTCAAAGTCTATCTGGGCTGATTCAAGATTTGACGGTTAAGCAAAACTGCTATTGAACATTTGGGTGATGTTTTTAGCACTGATGGCGAATGACGTTGAACATGTCCGTATCCTTACTTTCTAAGTGTATTTTCTCTGTGAAATATCTCTTCATGTCTGTGCACATTTTCTAACTAAATTGATGTTTCACTGTTGAGTTTTGTGAGTTCTTTATGTTTGGATACTAACACTTCGTTAGATATGTGGTTTGCAAATTTTTTGTCTACAGCTTGTCTTTTTCATCCTCTTCACATGGACTTTCATAGAGCAAGTTTTCTGTTTTGATGAGGTCTAGTGTGTCAATTTTTCCATCCATGGATTGTGCTTGTGGTAGCAAGCTCAAGTACTGAAAATTTTATCTGATTTTTTTTCTGAAAATTTTGTAGTTTTACATTTACCTCTAAGACCATGATCCATTGTGAGAATGTTCACATAAGGTGTGAGCCTTAGGTCAAAGTTTATTTTTATCTACTGATGTCCAATTGCTCCAGCACCATTTACTGAAAAGCTATCCTTTCTTCAGTAAATTGCTCTTGTACCTTTGTCAAAAACCACTTGGGCAGATTTGTGTGGATCTATTTCCAGGTTTTCTGTCCTGCTCCTTTAATCAATATGTCTGTTCTTCCACCAATAGCACAGTCGTAATTACCATAGCTATACAGTAACACTATCAGACAGACTGAGTCCTCCTCTGTATTGTTGTCAAGATTGTTTTACCTATTCTGGAGTCTGTTTTTCCATACGCATTTTAGAATAAGCTTGTTTGTTTCTATTAAAAAATTATCTTGCTGAATTTGACAGGGATTCTATTAAAACTACAGATCAATTTAGGTAGAATTAACATCTTACCATGCTTAACTTTTCAGTCCATGAACTTCTTTGCTTTTTTTCATCAGTGTGTTCTATTTTTCAGCCTACAGATCCTGTATTTTGTTACATTTATACCTAGCATTTCATTTTCTTCAGAACGATTGTAAATGGTATTGCTTTTAAGTTCAGTTTGTAAGTGTTCATTGCTAGTATATAGAAAATTGATTAATTTTTGTGTTATCTTCCATCCCATGGCCTGAACTCACTTATTCATCTTAGGAGTTTGGTTCTTGTAGATTCCCTGAGATTTTCTACATAGACAATTATGCCAGCTGCAATTAAAGACAGTTTCATCTTTTCCATTTTTACTCCTTATCCTTCATTTTCTTATCTCATTTCAGTGGCTAGAACTCTCACCATTATGTTGAATAAGATAAATAAAAGCAGACACTCGACCTTTTCCTGATCTTAGAAAGTATGATGTTAGCCATAGGTTTTTCATAGATTCTCTTTATCAAGTTGAAATACTTCAACTTTATTCCTAACTTGCTAAGAGTTTTTATCAACTTGCTAAGAGCTGGGATTTGTCAAATGCTTTTTCTATATGAATTGATATGATTGTATGATTTTTGATTATAATAGAATAGATTACATTGATTGACTCTCAAATATTGAAACAGCTTCACACACCTGAAATGAACCCCACCTTGGTCATGGCATTTAATTCCTTTTATACATCATTGGGTTCAGTTTCCTAATACTTTGTTGAGGATTTTCACATCTAAGTTTATGAGAAATATTGCTTTGTAGTTTCTTTTTGTATTGACTGTCTGGTTTGGGTATCAGTTAATACTGGCCTCAAAAGATGAGTTGGGAAGTATTCCCTTCTCTTCTGTTTTCTGGAAGAGATTATGTAAAATAGGTGTTAATTCTTTAGTTGGTTTGTAAAGTTCTTCAGTGTAGAGAAAATAGCATAGCAGATCTGGAACTGCCGTCCTTACAAAGGGTCTCTTGCAAGGTTTACCCTTGGCTGGTATGAGAGAATGTGGCTGGAAAGGTAGTTCCCTATGGTGATGTAACACTTTCCCTAAATGATAAGAGTGACTCATTGTACCTAGACTGCTAGCATAATGTGATTATGCTGAACTACTGCTTTCCTTGTGAGTGTCTGGAGTGTCAGTGATGTCAGTCAGTCACACAGGCACTACGGGCCCTACATGCCCAATGGTTAGGAAAAACCCTCGAACCCAAGGCTCAGGTGAGCTTCCCTGACAGGCAACTCTTCACACATACTGGTGCAGCTCGTTGCTGGAGAAACTCAGAATGTCCTGTTTGACTCCACTGGGAGGTGACTCAAACACCTGCACCTTGTGTCTCCCAGACTTTGTCCAGCGTGCCTTTCCCTTTGCCAACCCCACCCTGTATCTTTGCACCGTTAATAAATCTCAGACATGCATGAGGCAACATGCAGGACCCTGGGAGCCCTCCTAGTGAATCACTGAACCTGGTGATTGTCTTGGGGACCCCCCACAGATGCAGTGAAACTATCTGGGCCCAGACATTTCTTTTTCAGGATGATTTAATTACAAATTCAATTAGAAGTTGTTAATGGTTATAGGGATATTCGGATTATTTACAGTGTTTCCTCTTTATCTGCAGGGGATGCGTTCCAAGTCCCCCAGTGGATGTCTGAAACCTAGGATAGTACTGAACCCTATCTACCTATCTATACTATGCATGAGTTTCTTTTTCATTCTTCACCATTTCAAGGATAGAAGATTCATTTTTACTGTAGCAGCCCCAGTATATTATTTTTTCCCTTTATTAAGTTGAGAACTTTCATTTTTTAATTTCATTTTTAAAGGAAGCACTTTATGGCTTCTCTTTGGCATATTCAAATCACCACTGTTGCACTCTGGGGCCATTATTAAGTAAAATAAGGGTAACTGGAACACAAGTACTATAATAACACGAAAGTCAATCTGAGAAAACAGCTACTAAATGACCAACAGGTGGTGGTGCAACTCATCAAGACACCGGACAAAGGGAGAATTCACATCCTGGATGCAAAGAGCAGGACAGTAAGAGATTTCATCATGCTACTCAGAATGACACACAATCTAAATTTTATAGATTGTTTATTTCCGCAGTTTTCCATTTAACATTTTTGAGCCACAGTTGACTGAAACAGCAGAAAACAAAACCACAGATAAGGAGTGACTACTGTATTTTACCTTGGTTGAGTTTTGGTAGTTTGTCATTTTCAAGGAAATGATCTATTTCTTCCAAGTTCTCAAATTGATGGGCATATAATTATTAATAGTATTCCCTTGTTATCTTTTCAATATCTGCAGGATCTGTTGGGATATCCTCTGTTTCATTCCAAATTTGGTGATTGGTGCCTTCATTCTTTTTATTTTTGTCAACTTTCATGGAGATTTTTTTCTTTTTTTTTTCTTTTTTTTTTTTGAGACAAAATCTCACTCTGTTGCCCAGGCTGGAGTGCAGTGGCGCAATCTCTGCTCACTGCAACCTCCGCCTCCCAGGTTCAAGTGATTGTCCTTCCTCAGCCTCCCAAGTAGCTGGGACTACAGGAGCCTGCCACCATGCTCGGCTAATTTTTTGTATTTTTAGTAGAGATGGGGTTTCACCGTGTTAGCCAGGATGGTCTCGATCATAGATATTTTTCAACGTCATTGATTTTTTTCAAAAAACCAGCTCTTTATTTCATAATTTCCCCATTGTTTTCCTATTTTCCATTTCATTGATTTCTGCCCTTATCTTTATTTCCTTTGTTATACTTGCTTTGGGTTTATTTTGCTATTCTTTTTCTAATTTCTTGAAGTAGGAATGTAGGTTATTCATTTGAGAACTTTCCTCATTTATAATGTAAACATTTAGGGCTATAATTTCTCACTTAGCCCTGCTTTAACTTCATCTCAGGTGTTCTTGATATCTGTTTTCATTTTTCTTCAGTTCTATAGGTTTTTGTTAATTTCTTTTGAGACATTCTCTTTGACCTTAGGATTTAGAAGTATGTTGTTTAATTTCCACCGATCTAGAGATCTTCCTGTTATCATTCTGTTATTGATTTCTACCTCGATTCCATTATGATCAGAGAATATGCTCTGTATAATTTCAACTCTTTTAAATGTTATGTTTATTTAGGTTTATTTTATAGCCTAGGATATGCTCTGTATTAGCCCATTTTCACACTGCTATAAAGAAATACCTGAGACTGGGTAATTTATGAAGAGAGGTTTAATTGACCCACAGGCTTAACAGAAAGCATGGCTGGAAGGCCTCAGGAAACTTAACATTAAGGCAGAAGGTGAAGGGGAAGTAAGGACCTCCTTCACATGGTGGCAGGATGGAGAAAGAGCAAAGGGAGACATGTCACACACTTTCAGACAACCAGATCTTGCAAGAACTCACTCACTATCAAGAGAACAGCAAGGGGGAAATCCACCCCCATGATTCAATCACGTCCCACCAGGCCCCTCCCACAACATGTGAGGATTACAATTTGAGATGAGATTTGGGTGGGGACATAGAGCCGAACCATATCATTCCACCCTTGGCCTCTCCCAAATCTCATGTTCTTCTCACATTTCAAAACCAATCATGCCTTCCCAACAGTCCCCCAAAGTCTTAACTCATCCCAGCATTAACTCAAAATCCACAGTCCAAAGTCTCATCTGAGACAAGGTAAGTCCCTTCCACATGAGCCTGTAAAATCAAAAACAAGTTAGTTACTTTCAAGATACAATGGGGATACAGGCATTGGGTAAATGCTCCCATTGCAGAGAGAGAAATGAGCCAGAACAAAGGGGCTACAGGCCCCATGCAAGTCCAAAACCCAGCAGGGCAGTCATTAAATCTTAAAGCTCCAAAATAATCACCTTTGACTCCATGTCTCACATCCAGGTCACACTGATGAAAGGGATGGGATTCCAAAGCCTTGGGCAGCTCCACCTCTGTGGCTCTGCAGGGAACAGCCACCGTGGCTGCTTTCATGGGCTAGCATTGAGTGCCTACATCTTTCCTAGGTGTACAGTGAAAGCTGTTAGCGGATCTACCATTCTGGGGTCTGGAGGACAGTGGCCCCCTTCTCACAGCTCCACTAGGCAGTGTCCCAATGGAGACTGTGTGTGTGGGTTCCAACCCCACATTTCCCCTCTGCACTGCCCTAGTAGAGGTTCTCCATGAGGGTTCTGCCCCTGCAGCAAACTAATACTTGGACATCCAGTGTTTCCATACGTCCTCTGAAATCTAGGTAGAGGTTCCCAAGCCTCAACCCTTGCCTTCTGAGCACCCACAAGCCTGACACTACATGGAAGCCACCAAGGCTTGAGGCTTGCACCCTCTGAAGCAATGGCCCAAACTGCACCTTGGCACTTTTTAGCCATGGCTGGAGCTGGAGTGGCTGGGACACAGGGTGCCATGTCCCAAGGCTGCACAGAGCAGAGGGGCCCTGAACCTGGCCCAGGAAACCATTTTCCCTTCCTAGGCCTCCAGGCCTGTGATGGGGGGGGCTGAAGCTAAGGTCGTTGACACGCCCTGGAGACATTTTCCCCATTGTCTCAGCTATTAACATTTGGCTCCTCTTTACTTACGCAAATCTCTGCAGCTGGCTTGAATTCTCCTCAGAAATATGTTTTTTTTTCTTTTGTACCACATGGTCAGGCTGCAAAGTTTCCAAACTTTTATATTCAGCTTCCCTTTTTAATGTAAGTTCCAATTTCAGAACATCTCTTTATGAATACATATGACTATACACTGTTAGAAGCAGCCAGATCACATCTTGAACACTTTACTGCCTAGAAATTTCTTTCCACAGATCCCTAGAGCAGGGGCACCATGCCACCAGTCTCTTTGCTAAAGCATAGCAAGAGTGACCTTTGCTCCAATTCCCAGTAAGTTCCTCATTTCCATCTGAGACCACCTCAGCCTGGACTTCACTATTCATCACTATCAGTATTTTGGTCAAAACCATTGAACAAGTCTCTAGGAAGTTCCAAACTTCCCCTCATCTTCCTATCTTCTGAGCCCTCCAAATTGTTGTAACCTCTGCCCATTACCCAAATTCCAAAATTGCTTCTACATCTTCAGGTATCTTTATAGGAATGCCCCACCTCTCTGGTACCAATTTTCTGTATTAGTCCATTTTCACACTGCTATAAAGAGCTACCTGAAACTGGGTAATTTATGAAGAAAAGGGTTTGATTGACTCACAGTTTCACAGGCTTAACAGGAAGCACGGCTGGGAGGCGTCAGGAAACTTAGAATCATGGCAGAAGGTGAAGGGGAAGCAAGGACCTTCTTCACACTGTCGCAGGAGAGAGAGAGAAAAGGGGGATGTGCCACACACTTTCAAACAACCGGATCTCATGAGAACTCACTCAGTATCACAAAAACAGCAGGGGGAAATCCACCCCCATGATTCAATCACGTCCCACCTGGTTCCTCCCCTGATAGGTGGGGATTACAACTCGAGATGAGATTTGGGTGGGGACTCAGAACCAAACCATATTATGCTCTATCCTGGTAAGCATTCTATGGGAGTTTTCAAAGGCGTGTGCTCTGCAGTTGTTGGGTGGGTGTTCTATGTATGTCAATCAATGCAGTTGGTTGATAGCACCATTCAGATGTTCTATATCCTTGTTGATCTTCTGCCTAGTAGTCCTGTCAGTTGCTGAGAAGGGGATGTTCAAAGTTGTGAACTTCAATAACTATTATTATACTACCTCACCATTTACAAATGGGGAGACTGAGGGTTAGGTAGTTCAGTTAAAGCCTTTAAGAGGCAAGGCTGGGCTTTAAAACCAGGTCTTCCTGTCCCTAAAATCCACACCTCTTCTACTGCAGTTCCCACCACCTATGAATGGGTCCAGATTCCTGTCTTTGAAATCAGGGGGGATACTTTCTGGAAATGCAGCTAAATTGGCTCCTTGCTCAGATTTGAGCAGCAGTGAAGCCCCTGGGCTAAAGCCAGGGTAGGTGTTGACCAAGGGCCCCACGCATGAGCAAACCCTAAACTTTCCTGCCACGACCAGGGACGAGGAGACCTATCTGAGTAGTACTAACCAGGGGTCCTCTTCTGCCTCATCTCTTTGGAGTCTCATACTGGGCCCAGCCTGGATATAGCCTGGGATTCTCCTTCCTTCCCCCAGCCAGCTTTCTCCACCTGTTGTCCTTAACTGTATTCCCACACTTTCGGTGCAAGCAAACTACAGGTAAATAAATGTGGCTGGAATTGGAAGACAGTCAAAATGGAATGAGATTGTCAAGAAGATATGGCTTGATTAGTGTAAATACAGCCTAGTGGGGTGGGGGGAAAGCAGAAACCTGACACTGTTTTTTATCATTAGATGCTGAGAAAGGCTGGAATACACTAGACAAATCCCCCTGCGATCTCATCACCACTAAGCCCAACCTGAGACATTTATTAAAATAAAATTTTAAAATTCTTTTACATCTCTTTCTTCCTGGAGGGAAAAAAATCGTGCATAGCCGGTACCCCCTATAATCATGGCTATAATGAATAAGTGAAACACTCTTGCACACTGGAGCAATGGCTGCCCCTTGGCTTTTTCACCTTGGGCTTCAGGCCAAAGACTGCAGGCAAGAGAGGTACTGACACAGCGTAAAACCCAAGGCCACCTGTTGTCAGCTCCTCTGCTGTATCCTTATCTACCATGTCCTGTGAGTATCCACTTTTGTGGGAACTGTTATATTTTTAAAGTCAACTCTACCAAGTTTGGCTATAAATCTTTTATGGAAATTTAAAGATGAAAAACATATTTCTTCTTCATTGGTCTTATTTGTCTAATAAATGCCTTAGGGACTCACTGCTCAATCAATGTTTCCAATCTCCTGAAATTAAATTATCTTCCTATTGTGAGCTAGACAAAAATGATTTAAGTAGGTGGAATAATTTGGTTCTTATCTTGGTGTTATTGAGTGAATGGCACTATCATCAGTGTTTTTCCCTGCCTGTGTTATTTAATTCAAGATCAACCTGGGGCTTCTGAAAGACAGAGATTATTTTGCCAAAGAGTATATTTCCCAAATAGTCATAGTGGAGCAAAAGGTACAAACTTGAGGCCAGTGGCCTTCATCAAATGCAAGTGGACTTAGTCTCCCCCAAACCAGAGCATTGATAATAAGGGCATTACATAACACAAGATAAACATATGAATTATAATTACAGAAGAAAGGAAAACTTCTGCATCCTTTGTTAACATATCTTGATATATTTCATTTAGGTGTTTGTGGCACAAACATACACTTAACATTATGTATTAGACTCAAGGCTAGGCTTTGCAGGTTTTAAGATGAACAACCCAGGGTCCTGGAACTCACATAGTTTATAGTTGGAAAGGTCCACATATAAATACATAATGTTGATAAAGTGGGATCATGCCATAGTTGATGATATAGTTGAATATATGCTATATAATGCTAGCCATATAACTGGCCATAGTGGGAAGGAGTTTGGGATGGAAGCACACCTGGATGGCATGTATTCTAAACAGTCCTGTCCAGCAGAAGCATCTTTGATGATAGAAATGCTCAATGTCTAAGTGTACACTATGACAGCCACTAGCCACATGTGGCTATTGAGCACTAGAAATTGTTTCCTTTTAATCAACTTTAATAGCCATATATGGTGACTGGCTATCATATTGGATATATAATTCTAAAGTAATGATCCTTGCATCTTTAGTATGCATCAGAACCACCTGAAGATCTCAGTTCTGATCCAGTAGGTCTAGGATAGGGCCCAAGAATCTGCATTCTTACAAGCTCCAGGTGACTCTGACACTGCTGGTCCATGGCTCTCACTCTGGGGAGCACCATTCTGAAGGACTCCAGTCCCTCCACAGTCCATGGCAATAAGCCCAGAGCCGACTTCTTTCCTTTGCCACAGGCAGACTTACTATGAAGTGGATGACGTCGACTGGCCAGCCCTCACTCCCATGGCCCCTTTCCAGGACCTATCTGGTGGTGTGGAGTGGCTGAGGGCATTTTGAGGATGATGCTAAAGGGAGATTGGTATTGGGCATCCATTCGATTGGTCAAGAGGGGTATATGTTTGTGATCCCCAGTCACTTATGTAGCATCAATGCTGGGGGTTCTGGTGCAGGAGTTGCTTCTGGGATGGTCCTACCACCCATTCTGCTGACGCACCAACACTGACCAGACAGCTCATGCCTTAGAGTCTCTCCATAGCACCAACCCTCAGAGACCAGTGGGTGGGGTGGGGAGAAACAAGGTTTGGAATGGAATCTGTGGGGAATGTTTCCAATCAGCAGGCTTGTATCATTGCAAGTGGAAGTTTCAGTCCTTACAGGCACCTAGGCAAAATGGAAGTTCTCTCCTATTAGAAATATTGTTGGTGATTCAACTAAAACAATTATAAACAAACCATCTTCTTTTTTCCCCTTTTTGTTAAGAGAATGAATTATTTTAAAAATAATTTCAACTTTGATTTTAGATTCAGGGGCTGCACACGTGCAGGTTTGTGACATGGGTCTATTGTGTAAATAACTCCACCACCCAGGGAGCATAGCACCCATGAGGTAGTTTTTCAGCCCTGTCCCTCTCCCCCTCTCCCCACTCTAGGAGTCCCCAGTGTCTATTGCTTTCATCTTCATGTCCACGGCACCTTGTGTTTAGCTCCCACTTACAAGTAAGAACATGTGGTATTCGGTTTTCGGCTCCAACTTGAAGATTTTTTTTTAGAGATTAGTATAGGAGAAAAGTTGGAAAGCCCTTGAATCTTATAATTACTGTATAAGGGAAACTCAGTAGACATTTGCCCAAATTTGACATTAATCCTGAAAATTTACCCATAACTAATTGGGGAACTAAAAATTCATTTGTTGTAAACTATCAGCAATAATAACAAATTCAATCAACAATGCTAGAGGGAAGACTTAATTATCTTCCTAGCTTCTTTCTAGGAAAATATTACAAAACTTTCATCTGAAGAGAGGGAAGTCAAAAATGTCTAAGAGAAACAAGTACTTAGGAAAACTACATAGAAAACTAGCTGAAATGCTTTTTCGTGTATTTTTCAATGTTTGTGGTACTGGTCAGTGTTTTAAATTTAATAAATTTAATAATATTTAATAATGTTTTATTTCTTTTATCATTTTAAACATTGAATCAAAATATTCATTTGTATTTGAAATTTTATATTTTTTCCCAAGGGGGCCCATCAATTATAAACGTGCTAGGCTCCACAAAACCTGGACTCACCCCTACCCTTCTGCAAGTAATTTTGAAATGAAGCTTCTATAAGCAAAAAGGACTTAGGAAATGCTTTCTTCACTATTGCATTGCCAGTGCCTACCACAGTGCCTAATACACAGTAGGTGCTTAATAAAAACATGTTAAAGAATAAATGAACAGTAAAGCCTATGTTCCAATAGCAGTGAACAATTATCCAAGACAGGGCTACGAGCATCAGGGGAGGTCCCTGGGCGGGTCAGGGGAATACCTATCCTATTCTGTTCCTCCTCATTAACCTGTATTTATGGCCCCTCTGAAGCAATGCTAGGTTCTGAAGGTCTAAAGCTGTATATGCCAATCCCTCAAGGAG
This sequence comes from Homo sapiens, assembly GCF_000001405.40. NCBI lineage: Eukaryota > Metazoa > Chordata > Mammalia > Primates > Hominidae > Homo > Homo sapiens. The sequence continues at coordinate 6,568,670 of NC_000006.12, forward strand.
CTCTAAACCAGACAAGGGCCCAGAACTTATACAAAACAGAGTGTGACCTCTGATAAATTCCAAGCCATTCTGCTGGTGCAATGGAGGTAAGAGAAGACAGACCCTCCAGGGTGTAGTTGGGAAAAGTCCACGGAAAGTAGCTGTGAAGCAGAGGAAAGGCAAAGAAGTCAAGGAAGAACTGCATGGACAAAGGTGGAGGTGGGAGCCCCGTGACTTGCTTATAAAGGGAAGAGAAGGCAAACCTTTATCCTCCCTGTAAACAAGGAGGCCCAAGGAGCAAGGTGTGAAGACCAACTTTGGGAAAATTAACTCTGAAAGCCAATTCCAGACCAAGGACTTTGACCGCCAACCTAAAAGTAGAAAAGAACATGCACAGGGTTCTGTGCATAGAAAGACCAGTGTGTCAGGTGGGGGTCAGAGCACTTTGTCCCCGTGACCCAGAGAAGGGCTTGGAAAGAGAGACTCCAGGCAGGACAGGACCAAAGGCTATTCCATAACTCAGTCTCAAGGTTGCACAGGCCAGGGCTGGAGAGGCGGTAAGAATGCAAAGGAGGGATGGAACTGAGAAATGATGCAATAAGGGAAGCGTTGGTTTGTGTGTGCATTTGTTTTTTACATGTACTGAATGCCTACTTCGCAACAGATGCTTTTTCATAGACTGCTTCGCTGGAAGCTCAGACATCCCTGGGAAAATAGAAGTCGTCATCCTCGTGCATTTAGAAGGATCGGGGGCTGTGTGCAGACTCACCTCCCGGCACGAGATTCAAGCCAGAACTTCACAAACATTCTTTTCTGGTTCCTCTTCTTTCCACACGCCACACTGAGGATGTGAGGAATGAGACAGAGTCAAGAACAGCTTATAAGTTTGCAGGATGGAAGCTAACGTTGAGTGGAACTCGAAGAGGTCTACCAGAGAGCAGGCTGGGGAGCAAGAGGAGGAATGGCTTGTTTTAAAGGGAATCTTTTGGAGGCAACAGTTTCTATTTGAACAGCTGGAGTACTGCCTCTTTCTCCTTGTTCTCTTAGCCTGACAAGTATTTTGAGCCCTGGGACTTTGAAAGAATCACTCCCCAGCTGTCCCTGACATTTTAAAATCTGTTCCCAGTTTGAATCAAGTGGAGTCTTTAGTCTTAGATATGAAGGCTATTGCAAAAAGTTTGTAGAAAGCAGTTAATTTCCTCTCTTTTTCCTTGCTGCAGCTGACCTGGAAAAAAAAATATTCAATACAAACAGGCTTTCCTCATCTCTAAGGAGAGAAAGTCTAGCAGATATGATTCACAGCCATCAGAAATTTGATGACCTCATATCTGCACTCCTAGAAAGGGTTCGGCTCTGCCATTCACTCCAAAGGGCTAAGCCACCGGCACACCTGAGGTTAAGCCAATAAAACACAGTAATTCCTTCATGTATATGCCCTCCATTTTTGCCAACTGTCTCCAGCTTTGTCCTTGGAGAAAATTCAAACATTTAGGTATGGTCAGGGGAGATGTGCTTGTCCTGTTCAATAAAGGAGTAAATATTTATGTATGTCCACAATTTACATTTTAATAGACATGTTAATTTGTTTAAATATTTCCTGACATATCAGTTTTAACATGTTATATTAATCTGTCAAAGACAACTCACCACAGCAGAAAAACAGCTCCCTTTTGCAAAAATCAAAAAAGCTGATCACTTTCAAATTTTCTCTTGTCATGGAGTAAAAATTAAGGAAAAACAATAATGGTGATACTACACCAGCAGGCTGACTTTGAAGATCCTGCAGGTATTTTTTAAGGTTTGAGAAAATGACATTAAAAATGAAAGAAACCTTTCAGAGGCCAAAGCAGGTGGATCACAAGGTCAAGAGAGCCAGACCATCCTGGCCAACATGGTGAAACCCCATCTCTACTAAAAATACAAAAATTAGCTGGGTGTGGTGGTGCACACCTGTAGTCCCAGCTACTCGGGAGGCTGAGGCAGGAGAGTTGCTTGAACTGGGAGGCGGAGGTTGCAGTGAGCTGAGATCATGCCACTCTACTCCAGCCTGATGACAGAGCAAGACTCCGTCTCAAAAAGCAAGCAAGCAAGAGAAAGAAGAAAGGAAGGAAGGAAGGAAGGAAGGAAGGAAGGAAGGAAGGAAAGAAAGAATCTCTACCTGCTCCAACTAATTCAACACCATTTTTAAATTTTCTTCATAAATTGCACAAGTGCTGTATGGTTATTATTTTAAAAGATACAAATGTTATAGAAGTATGCTACTAGAGCACTCCTTCCCTGCATATCTCAGAATATTGGGCTGTTATGAATATTACAAGTAAAATTTTCAACATACAATGTATAGTATGTATCTCAGGGATCATATAAAGAATCTAGACTGTGTTGTATACAATCTCTCAGGGCTCTCTGCCACTATAAAATGTCCCTGGTATCCTGGGCTCGGCTCCAAGTAGTTCTGAAATGCTTGCCCACAGATACATGAAACATTTTTACCAGACTCAGACAAAACAAACAAACAATAATAATATAAACGTCAGTGTGAGGTTATGAACTGTCCTGATTGTGAAGAACACTCCTTTAGTTTAAGATTGTATCTTTCATCACCTTTTTTTGGTGTTAAACTATCCTTTCTTTTAAAACAATTATAGCAATAGTAGATGGAATTTCTTTTCTAATGGCATTTGTTACAAAATAAAAAGTTAGCAATCCTAGTTTAGCCTCATTTTTAGAAACCATTTTAACAATTTTTAAGTGTAAAATTTAGTGGCATTAAGTACCTTCACAGTGTTGGGCAACCATCTCCATCATTTCCAGAATTTTATTATCACCCCAAACAGAAACTCGGTAACCATTAAACAATAATTTCCCATTTTCCCCTCCCCCAAGTTCCTGGTAACCACCATCCTGTCTCTATGAATTTGTTTATTCTAAGTGCCTCATATAAGTAGAATCATACGATGTTTGTCCTTTTGTGTCTAGCTTGTTTCACTGAATGTAATGTTTTCAAGGTTCATCCATGTTGTAGTATATCATAATTTCACTCCTGCTTAAGGCTAAGTAATTTTTAATTGTATGTATATACCACATTTTGTTTATCCATTCATCTGTTGATAGATATTTGGCTTCTTTCTCACCTTTTGGCTACTGTGAATAATGTTATAAGCATCAGTGCACAAGTATCAGTTTAAGTCCTTGCTTTCAATTCATTTGGGTATACACCTAGCAGTGAAATGGCTGAATCATACGGTAATTCTATGTTTAACTTTTTGGGGGACCACCAAACTGTTCTCTACAATGGCTGCACCTTTTATATCTCTACCAGCATTTGAGAGAATTCACATCCACATCCTTGTCAACACTTATTTTCCAGTTTTTTAAAATTAGCCATCCTAATGGATGTAAAGTAGTATCTCATCATAGCTTTAATCTACATCTCCCTAATGACTAATGATGCAGAGCATCTTTTCATGTGTTATAGATCTTCTTTCTACCTATTCACACTTTTGCCTGTTTTTGAGTTGGATTATTTGTTTTGTTTTTGAGTTGTAAGGGTTTTTTTTTTAATATATTCTGGATATAAATCCCCTATGAGACATATGACTTGTAAATATTTTATCCCATTCTGTGAGTTGTCTCTTCACTTTGTTGATAGGGTCCTTTGATGCACAAAAGTTTTAATTTTTATGAAGTCCAATTTGTCTATTTTTTTCTTTTCTTGCCTATGCTTTTGGTATCATTTCCAAGAAATCATTGCAAATGCAATGTCATGAAGATTTCTCCCTATGTTTTCTTCTAAGTTTTTATCATTTTAGATCTTAAATTTGGGTCTTCAATCCACTTTGAGTTAATTTTTGTATATGTATAAGGTAAGGGTCCAGCTTCATTCTTTTGCATACGAGTATCCAGTTTTCCCAGCATCATTTGCTTAAAAAAAAATACAAAACAAAACAAAAACTAAAACAACTGTCTTTCCCCATTGAGTGGTCTTAGCAGCACTCCTGTTGAAATTCACCATGTATTTGAGTGTTTATTTCTGGGTTCTCTCTTCTGTTTAATTGGTCTATATGTCTATCTTTATGCCAATAACACATATTTTGATTACGGTAGCTTTGTTGTAAGTTTTGAAATCAGGCAGCGTGAGTCATTCAAATTTGTTCTTTTTCTTCAAGATTGTTTTGGATTTTGGGGGTCTCTTGAGATTTCATATAACTTTTAGGATGAGTTCTCTATTTTTGCAAAATATGTCATTAGGATTTTGATAGGGATTGCACTGAATTTGTAGATTGCTTTTGGTAGTATTAACATTTTAACAATATTAAGTCTTTCAGTCCAAGAACACAGATGTCTTTCCATTTATTTATGTCTTCTTTAATTTTCTTCTGAAAATATTATGTACTTTTCAGTGTATAAGGCTTTTGTCTCCTTGGTTAAAGTTATTCCTAAGTATTGTATTATTTTTGATGCTGTTGTAAATGAAATTGATTTCTTAATTTCCTTTTTAGATTGTATGTTGCTAATGAATAGAAACACAGCTGGTATTTGTGTGCTTTTTTGTATTCAGTACCTTTATTAAGTTCATTGACAGTGTGTGCATGTGTGTATGTGTGTGCGCATGTGTATATTTACAGTTTTCTACATATAAGAATGTCATCTGCTAAGCAGGATAATTTTATTTCTTCCTTTCCAATTTGAATGCCTTTTACTATTTATATTGCCTACTTTCTCTGGCTAGAACTTCCAGTACTATGTTGAATAGAAATGGTAAAAGTGGAAATCCATGTCTTGTTTCTGGTGTTAGGAGGAAAGCTTTCAATCTTTCACAGTTAAGTGTGATGTTACTTGTGAGTTTCTCACATATTGACCAAAAGTTGTTTATTTTATTTAGTTGTGAAATCTGCCAGTTACCGGTATAGTGGCAAGATCAGCTTGGGAACCAGGCAAATTTAGGTTCAAACGAAATAATCTTCTAAGGTTTCTAGGGGCTTTTTGTCATGAGGAAGTAATGAGCATCAAACATACCCATCACCCTAAGCAACTGTAAAACTGGATAAAATATACAAAGCAATTATTTTCAAGAATTGGACAACAGGCAGCATGGGGCTGTAATACTTGAAATAAGAGAAATACAAAGTGATGTCCTCAATTATTCTGACTTTCTGCCTGGCACAGGGAAGTAGCACCCAAAACACAGCAGCAGTCTAACTGGAGTGAGAAAACAAAGATTGGAGTTTGGGGATATTCAGATAACTGGATTTTCATGAGCCCTCTGGACTGTTTGGCTAAATACAAAGTTATACACTATGCAGGGCAAAATTCTGCAAAGCCTCACAAAGAACAACTAAAGAAAGGCTGGGAACTGACAGAGATCCTGGAGGTTACTCATTATTGACAGACATTTGAATTTGATCAGCCAGAGTAAAGAGACTGTAGGAATTCAACTGAAACCCAAGAAAAGACACATCTCAGAGACAGAGCCCCTCTTAGCCCTATAGTGAGGATTATTCTAGGCCTACACTAACAAAACCTAAACCAAATTTCAGCATAATCAACCTGAGCTGCCGTGGGTTTACTACTCAAGATTTTTTGCTAACAAGACTATGTTAACAACATTCAATATTCTTTGAGGCAGGTCCACATAATTCAAACTCTCACAATGACCAGCATAGAATGAAAACATTACTAGACACTGTAAAGAAGCAGGAAAATGGAACCCATAATATATCAGTTAATAGAAACACAAAGACATGTCTCATATTGAGTTTAGCTGACAAGGACTTTAAGAAAAAGATAAACATAATGAATGGACAGATGAGTAGTCTCAGCAGAGAAATGGACATTATCAAAGAAGCCACATGGAAATATTGGAACTGAAAACATTATTTACAATAAAAAATATTATATTTTAAATTTCAAATAGAAATTATCCAAACTGAAACACAGAGAGAAATAAGATGAAAAAAAACAGAGCTTAAGTATTTGTGTGGTGATATCAGTCTAACATACAAGTAATCAGAGTCCCAGAAAGAGAGGAGATAAAGCAAAAAAATAATTAAGGAAATAATAGCCTTAAATATTCCAAATTGTAATTCAACTCATAGCTCCAGGAGATTCAAAGAACCTCAAGTAGGATAAACACAGATAAAATCATAGCAAGACACATCGCAGTCAAATTTCTGAAAACCAAAAATAAACAGGCAATTTTAAGAGCAATCAAAGAAAAAAAAACACTAGATGCAGAGGAACAAAAGTAAAAATAATCCTTAACTTCTCATGAGATTTAATGTAAACCAGAATACAATAAAACAAAATATTTAAAGTTCTGGAAGAATAACTGTTATCAAAATTCTATATACAGTTAAAGAATTCTTCAAAAATAAAAAGTAAAAGAAAGACATTTTCAGGAAAATAAAAGCTGAGATAATTAATTACCAGCAGATCTACACTTCAGAAAACATTAAAAGAAGTTCTTCAGTTTGAAGGGAAATAATATATGGAAACTAGGA